>NC_000017.11:7006262-7157777 GCF_000001405.40 Homo sapiens
AAATCAGGATTTTCTGACGATGTATGACAGCAACCATGCGAATTCCTAGAACTAAGGACCCACATCTTCCATGAGATGCTAGTGTGTTTAGAGGGCTGAGGATGTCCCAAAGGCGAGGTGTCTTCCCAGATACTGTGGAAGCATTGGGCAGATGCCACAGAAAGAGGAATAGAGGTCAGAGGCGGGGGCTTTCTGCCCTCAAGTGCCTTTTCCCCCTGGGCAGGTATGTGGAGGGGATCGTCCACCTCTTCTACCAAAGGGATGACATAGTGAAGGGGGACCCTGAGCTGCAGGCCTGGTGTCGGGAGATCACGGAGGTGGGGCTGTGCCAGGCCCAGGACCGAGGTAAGATCCATTCTAGAGACAGAAGAAGCTCCTGGGAGACTCTGCCAGGGCGCCTTCCCAGCCCTGCCCTTCTGGGGACAGGACCCCAGCCTCTCATCACGCCTCCCTTCCTCCCTCCACACGGGAAAGCATGTGTATCCCATTCCCACCTCCTCCGACTCAGGACAATTCTAGAGACCCAAGGACTGTCCTCCTCAGAGACCCTGGCCATCAACCCCTAGTCCCACTACACCCCAGTCACAGATGCCCCTGAACTGCCATATCCTGGGGCCCCCCAGGCCATATCCACAGCTGGGAGGGGTCTGCACAGTCCCTGCTGGGCTCATATTCTCTCCTGATGGTTCCGTTTTCCTAACTGAGGATGTAAATGGGAAGATTTTCCCTCCGAAGCCCACAAGGACCCACCCTGGCTTTCCCTCCCTCTCTTCCTGCCTGCCACTGTGCAGCACGCACAGAGGGTCCAGGAATACCGCACGCTTGCTACAGTGCAAGGTCAGCTCTTGATGCAAGCTCAATCCTATACATGCTTTGCCTCAAACCCAAACTCAGCACCCTGATCCTTGGGGCTCAGGTTTCTTTGGCTAATCCAACTCTTCCACCCTAACCACCCCTTGGCCAAAATCTAGCCACTACCTTTAGTCAACTCTCACTCCCCACATTTGAACCTCTGAGGAAGAAAAAGCCTTTGCTGAGCTCTTAGGTTTAATCACACAGGCACCAGCCTGGACTGCTGTCACTCATCCTTCGGCCCCTCCCCCTCACACTTCAGATCTAGGCTGTGAATACCATCCTCTGCCTCTGTGAGACAACTACAGACATTTACTGGGGAGCCCTTATGGCGAATCCTGGGAATGTGGCAAACCTCCTTACCCTGGAGGGAGCCTCTCCCTGGGGAATCTGCACCACCCTACCCTTCCAGGACCAAACTCTCTCTAGTTCTTCTCAGTACAGTCCCTTAGGCTCCTAGCAGTTTGGGCTACTACAACAAAACACTAGCTGGGCACAGTGGCTCACGCTTGTAATCCCAGCACTTTGGGAGGCTGAGGTGGGTGGATCACGAGGTCAGGAGTTCGAGACCAGCCTGGCCAACATAGTGAAACCCGTCTCTACTAAAAATACAAAAATTAGCCAGGCGTCGTGGCACGCACCTGTAATCCCAGCTACTCGGGAGGCTGAGGCAGGAGAATCGCTTGAACTTGGGAGGCGGAGGTTGCAGTGAGCTGAGATCACGCCATTGCACTCCAGCCTGGGCAACAGAGCGAAACTCCGTCTCAAAAAAATAAAATAAAAAAAACCACACACCATAGACTGGGTGGCTTATAAACAACAGAAATGTATTCCTCACAGTTCTGGAGGCTGAAAGTTCAAGATCAGGTTCTGGTGAGACCCCTCTTCCAGGCTGCCCACAGCCGATTTCTCCCTGTATCCTCACACAGCAGAAAGATAGCAAGCTAGCACTCTGTCCTCTGCTCATAAAGGTATCAAACCCATTCAGGAGGGCTGCACCCTCACACCCTAATTATCATGTGGGGCTCCACCTCCAAATACCATCACAATAGGATTAGATTTCAATATAAAAATTTTTCGGAGCCAAAGACATTCAGTTCATGACACATGTTAACTTTAACCTCCACTAACCACCCTCCCCCCTGTTCTCTTTCAGTTCTCATAGCTCACTTTTGTCTAGTTTTCCCAGCAGACATTTTAGAGGCTAAAATTAAAAATGCCATGGGATTAGCAGTCAGGAACCTGAGTTCAAGATCAGCCTCTGCCTTTTCCCAACTATGCAGTCCTGACAGTTTATTCTCTATGGGCTTTGATTTTCTTACCTATAAAATGAGAGTAATTATATTTATTCCACTTAACTGATAAGATTATTGGGTCTCCCAGCACTTTAGGAGGCCAAGGTGGGCAGATCACCTGAGGCCAGGAGTTCCAGACCAGCCTAGCCAACACGGTGAAACTCCATCTCTACTAAAAATACAAAAATTAGCTGGGCATGGTGGTGGGAGCCTGTAATCCCAGCTACTTGGGAGGCTGAGGCAGGAGAATCACTTGAACCTGAGAGGCGGAGGTTACAGTGAGCCGAGATTGTGCCACTGCACTCCAGCCTGGGCAACAGAGCAAGACTCCGTCTCAAAAAAAAAAAAAAGATTATCGGGTCTCTGAGCCCCCATATCCACTGCAAAATGAGTGGACTGAGATAACCTTTGTGGGAGCCCCTCTCAGCTGTGACACTGGAAATCCATGACTTATTCCCCACATTATAACGCAGACACTTGTAATTCTGTCTGGGAATAGGATTACGCATTCCTAAATTATTTATTTATTTTTTAATTTTTAAATAGAGACAGGCTCTTGCTCTGTCACCTGACTACCAGCAATCCTCCTGCCTTGGCCTCCCAAAGTGCTGGGATTACAGGCATGAGTCACCGACCACGCATCCCTCAATTGGTTTTTTTTTTTTTTTGAGACAGACTCTCGTTGTGTCGCCCAGGCTGGAGTGCAGTGGCGGGATCTCAGCTCGCTGCAAGCTCTGCCTCCCGGGTTCACGCCATTCTCCTGCCTCAGCCTCCCGAGTACCTGGGACTACAGGTGCCCGCCACCACACCTGGCTAACTTTTCGTATTTTTAGTAGAGACGGGGTTTCACCGTGTTAGCCAGGATGGTCTCGATCTCCTGACCTCGTGATCCGCCCATCTTGGCCTCCCCAAGTGCTGGGACTACAGGCGTGAGCCACCGCGCCCGGCCGCATCCCTCAATTCTTAACCACTTTTTGAGGCAAGGGATATTTGGTCACTCAGAACTTTTCAGCCCCCAATCCTTCCATAACAATAATTATTACTTACTTATTGAGCATTTATTACAGACCAGGTGATTTTGATACATCATCTCATTTATAATGTAGGTATCGTCCATATTTTACAGGTGAAAAAAACTGAGGTTCAAATAGGTTAAGCTGGCCTATGGTAACTAAGTGTAAGTGACTGAGCCAGGACTTAAACGCATGTCTGATGCAAATACGTCTAAATAAAATAAACAAATTCATCAATTCTAAAATATGGGCATCCCAAAACAACAGCCTTTGTTCCTCTCCTCTTATGCTGTAGCTTCTAACTGCTATTCCTTTCCTGCCCAGGTTTCCCTGTCTCCTTCCAGTCCCAGAGTCAACTCTGCCATTTCCTCACCATGTGCGTCTTCACGTGCACTGCCCAGCATGCCGCCATCAACCAGGGCCAGGTATGGACAGCTGAAAGCCCAGGTCCCTGAAGGCAAGGTGACCTGAGGGAGAGATGGGAGTTCAAACCCTAAGTACCAGGGTTCTAGGGTTACAGTTTCTTCCTCCAGCTGGACTGGTATGCCTGGGTCCCTAATGCTCCATGCACAATGCGGATGCCCCCACCCACCACCAAGGAAGATGTGACGATGGCCACAGTGATGGGGTCACTACCTGATGTCCGGCAGGCCTGTCTTCAAATGGCCATCTCATGGCATCTGAGTCGCCGCCAGCCAGACATGGTGAGAGGGGACTCTCGGGAGAGGGAAATGACAGTTGGAAAGGAAACATCAGAGTGAGGGGCTGGGCTCTAGGTGCGTTTGTCTTTAGAAACTGACTGATCCTTTGTTCTGTCTCAGGTGCCTCTGGGGCACCACAAAGAAAAATATTTCTCAGGCCCCAAGCCCAAAGCTGTGCTAAACCAATTCCGAACAGATTTGGAAAAGCTGGAAAAGGAGATTACAGCCCGGAATGAGCAACTTGACTGGCCCTATGAATATCTGAAGCCCAGCTGCATAGAGAACAGTGTCACCATCTGAGCCCTAGAGTGACTCTACCTGCAAGATTTCACATCAGCTTTAGGACTGACATTTCTATCTTGAATTTCATGCTTTCCTAAAGTCTCTGCTGCTAAGGCTCTATTTCCTCCCCCAGTTAAACCCCCTACATTAGTATCCCACTAGCCCAGGGGAGCAGTAAACTTTCTCTGCAAAGACTAGATCCTTTTTTACGCTTTGCAGACCGCATAGTCACTGTCTCAACTACTCAGCTCTCCTGCTGCAGCATGAAGGCAGCCACAGACAACATGGAAATGAGTGTGACTATGTTCCAATAAAACTTTATGGACACTGAGATATGAATGTTACATCACAAAGTAGTCTTCTTTTGGTTTATTCAACCATTTAAAATGCAAAAAAAATCCACAAACAAATGTGCTTTGTTTGAGACATGCACAGCCAGGCTACAGACTGGATTTGGCCCTTGAACCCTGCACTAGCCTGAGGCCCTGACCCTACTTCCAAAACATCCAAGATCATGGAGCAGGGGGATTTCTTAGAAAAATCAGCTTACCTCAGCTAACTCTCCATTCCCAGGAACTAACCTTCATGCCTGGTGGCCAATGTACAAATTCCTGACTCAGTTCTTTGGCAAATTCCTTCCACCCATATTTCTCCTATTCACCCATGTACCCCAAAAGTCCCTGAATAAGAATCATGTTTTTGGGGCAGAATACAAACCACTGCCCCAAAATGGCTTCTTTCTCCAAACAGTCCCAGATGAAAGGCACATAATTCATGTCTTAAGGCTACTTTTCCAGCCCCTTTAATACTCTGGGATCTATGTGTTTCCCACATTCCAAGTTATCTTTCACAAGCCTTTTAAGAACAACATGCACAAAATAAATGGACAAGAACTACAAAGTTATTCTAGCCAATGATAGTGTTTATTTGTTAGGTCCTGGGGTCTCAAGGTCAAATGATCCCTCTCAATTATTCTGAGGTCACTGTCCTCACTAGAGTGGGTACAACTTGCTCACTGCAAAACTGTGTTCTTCAAACATCCCTACTTCTTTTCTTTTCTTTTTTTTTTTTTTTTTAGAAGTAGTCTCTATCGCCCAGGCGGGAATGCAGTGGCGCCATCTCAGCTCACTGCAACCTTCGCCTCCCGGGTTCAAGGGATTATCCCGCCTCACCATCCCGAGTGGCTGGGATCACAAGCTCATGCCACCACATCCAGCTAATTTTTGTAATTTTTAGTAGAGACAGGGTTTCGCCATGTTGACCTGGCTGGTCTCGAACTCCCGACCTCAGGTGATCCGCCCGCCTCGACATTCCTATTTCTAAATAATTATTACAGATCTGTCACTCACCAGTTAAACATACAAACGGCTTTTTTGGAGGGGATGACCTATTTATATTTTTAAATCTTATATCCTACCTTATTCAAAAGTCCTATCAGTTTTCCTAGTTTAGAGAAGCAAAGTGACATTTTTGTGTACATTTAACAGGACTGCTTACCTTCACAACCTGCTCAGTCGGCTTTCCCTGGACTTCTCCTAACCGCCCATTTTTCCTGGATTTGGCACCGAGAGTTACAGTATTTCACGTGCGATGATAAAATGTTACTTAGGAGAAACAGTTCCAATACCAAGAAACTTCAGCAATTTTAAAGCATTTTAAAGCCACAAAACCATGCCCGATCCCCAAAAGGGGGTCCTAACTCCTTTACACTGTCAGAATCTCAATTTTAAAAGGGAGGAGTAGAGAAGAGATAGAAACGCTCTCTGTTGGTGAAAATCTGTCTTACTTACCATTTCCCCAACACAGGAGAGACTAAGGAATTTCAGGTAAAAATCAGATGGCTCCAATCCTCCGATACTAAGAGCCCATCGCCCCAGTTCCCAGGAGTTCCGCCAGTTAGACTTTTTCCCCCATGGCCTCGCTAAGGCTAGTTCCTCGTCACGTGACGTGACAGGCTTGGTCACGTGACATACCAGCTCCTTCCATTCCCGTGTGCGGGGGGAGGGGGACCAACAAACCGGAGGCCCTCGCTCTTCCAATACTCACGCCCTAGCTACAGAGGTCAAGGAAGGTTTCCCCAGGAGCAGTTTTGGTTTCAGACGGCGCCGTCTCCCGCGAAAGTCCTGAGAGGAGCCCAGCCTTTTCCGCCTGCCGCCCCCGGATGGGATGGTTGAGGCCGGGGCCACGCCCCCTCTGCCCCCCTGCGAGGGCATCCTGGGCTTTCTCCCACCGCTTTCCGAGCCCGCTTGCACCTCGGCGATCCCCGACTCCCTTCTTTATGGCGTCGCTCCTGTGCTGTGGGCCGAAGCTGGCCGCCTGCGGCATCGTCCTCAGCGCCTGGGGAGTGATCATGTTGGTGAGGGGACTCCCCGGCAAGGATCGGAGAGGGCCTGAGGGGCTCCGGGCTGGGAGGGCTGGGAGGCGAGGAAACTCTGGGCCGCAGGCAGGCCGGAGGGGCCGGGGATCTACAGGCCCCGGAGAAGGAGACAGACTGAAATTGAAAAATGGGAACTGTTCGAGACCAGCCTGACCAACATGGTGAAACCCCGTCTCCAATAAAAATACAAAAATTAGCCGGGCGTGGTGGCGCCCGCCTGTAATCCCAGCTACTCAGGAGGCTGAGGCAGGAGAATCGCTTGAATCCGGGAGGCGGAGGGTGCAGTGAGCCGAGATCGCGCCACTGCACTCCAGCCTGGGTGACAGAGCGAGACTCCGTCCCCAAAGAAAAAGAAAAAAGGGAACTGGAGCGGAGGGCCCTGGAGTGGGAGGAGCCAGGGCTGGTAAAGGTGGAGACCCCTCAAGGTAGGAGAAACAAGAGCGGGGTGCCTGAGAGGTGCTTGAGTTGAATGGAGGACATGGGAGGAAAAGAGAGTGCTTGTTCCAGAAATGTGTAGCTGGGCCTTGTTTTCCCAGTAATCCACCCACCGCCACTTCAAGAAGAAATGATATGAAGAAGTGCCGGTTCTCCCTCCCCTCTTCCGCACTGTCCCGTGATGATGACGCCTCCAGAGAGGACGATAATCTGGGTTCCTGGGAGAGATGGCTTGGTCACTATTCCCACCCTTGCCTCGACCACTTGTCTCAATGTCACCACCTCACGCCCTGTTCCAGGTGGCTGAGTCCGAATCCAGTAACCACCACCTCGTTTTGGTTAATCTCAGGCTCGGGTGTTGTAGCAACATTGGAAATGGGAGGGGTTTACGAAGTGAACATGAGGTCAGGTGCCTGAATTCAACAGTCTACCCATTCCCCTTTTCCAGATAATGCTCGGAATATTTTTCAATGTCCATTCCGCTGTGTTGATTGAGGACGTTCCCTTCACGGAGAAAGATTTTGAGTAAGTATTCGGGTGGGGGAGGCGGGCTGGGAGCAGGTGGGAGGTGGCGAGGCCTAGGGTCAGAATTACGTCTGGGAGGCCCGGTGCTTAGGGCCCCTAGGTTAGAGGACTTGGAGAGGAGAGCGGCTTTCTTGAGAATGTGGTTAGGAGCCAGGGAGTCAGACCTCAGCGGCCATCCCAAACCCACCACCTTAGGTGTGACCTCTTTAGGTATTTTACTTTTCTGTGCTTCTCAGTCCACCTCTGCAAAATGGCTATGACAGATCTCACCCCATAGGATGGTCAAGAAGATTGAATAAAGTAATACACGTAACAGCGCCTAAACAGGTGTCGGGCACATAGTGCTCAGAAAATGTTGGCTCCTATTAAAGTTTGACCCCTTTGCTTCATTCCCACCCCCAGGAATGGCCCCCAGAACATATACAACCTTTACGAGCAAGTCAGCTACAACTGTTTCATCGCTGCAGGCCTTTACCTCCTCCTCGGAGGCTTCTCTTTCTGCCAAGTTCGGCTCAATAAGCGCAAGGAATACATGGTGCGCTAGGGCCCCGGCGCGTTTCCCCGCTCCAGCCCCTCCTCTATTTAAAGACTCCCTGCACCGTGTCACCCAGGTCGCGTCCCACCCTTGCCGGCGCCCTCTGCGGGACTGGGTTTCCCGGGCGAGAGACTGAATCCCTTCTCCCATCTCTGGCATCCGGCCCCCGTGGAGAGGGCTGAGGCTGGGGGGCTGTTCCGTTTCTCCACCCTTCGCTGTGTCCCGTATCTCAATAAAGAGAATCTGCTCTCTTCAGCCCTGTGTCTGTGCTTGAGTGGGGGCGAGCACGGGGCTGAGACTAGAGGTCGGCCTCTGCCTGGAAAGTCCCGATGTCTGAGCGGAAGTGGAGCGAAGTGTGGCGCGGAAGTGAGGCGAAGGCTTTCCCCATCGACTGGGCGCGCCGAGCGGTCTAAGCGACTGCGTCTGATGGGGCGGGGAGCCGCCGGGTTGAGCCTATCCGCTGCGGGGAGGGCGGGACTTCCTGCGCGGGGGCCCGAGCCGCTCAGTCTCCCTGCTCTCCGTGGTCCCGGCTCGCGTGTAGCGGCGGCGGCGGCGTCTCCGTGAGGAGGCGCGCGGGGCCATGACGTCAGCGTCCACAAAGGTTCGACCTCCCTCGCGGACAGCGCTCCCTGGCGGCCACGGGAGGGCGGGCCCCCCACTTGGCTCGCGGCTCTTCCGCCCCGGGCGGGGGGCGGGCGGGAGCCGAGCCTGGGGTGGGGCTAGGGGCTCCGGGCGGGACGGGGAGGGCGGGCGCCGGCCCCCCGTGACGCTGCCCCGCCCCCAGGTCGGAGAGATCTTCTCGGCGGCCGGCGCCGCCTTCACGAAGCTCGGGGAGCTGACGATGCAGCTGCATCCCGTGGCCGACTCTTCTCCTGCGGGGTACGTGAGCCCGGACTGGGACGTGGACGCTGAGAGCGGGCGCTTGGACTCGGTCACAGACACGGACCCTCTCTAGCACAGGGACAGACATTAGTTTCCCTTTGTGCGTGGCACAGCACAGAGTCGGTGTTAATAAATGATCGTTGGGTGAGGGAATGAATGACAGATAAAAATACAGACAGGCCCATAGCCCAGACTCCTGTTTCACAGTTCTCCCTGCTGCGAACGGGTCGACCACAAACCACCGCCACTCCCAACCACCCCAGTTCATGGAATTCCCCCAGACGGCTGCAGGCTGTGTTGGTGGGTCTGTTTTGAAAAGCCCTTCCTGGCGAGTTGGTTTCAGTGTGCTGTGTACAGCAGCCGTTTAACGTTGATGGTGGAAAGGGGTGTCTAAGGTGGAGGTGGTTGTGATTTCTTGTGATTGGGGTCCTCCCGGTTCCCGCAGGGCCTCAAGAGCTTTCCGCCTCCCCTTACGGAGGACCTCTTTATGCATCCGTGGAAGGGGTCCCAGAAATCGGAAGGAGGCGGCTGGTTGGCTGTGGGATGCATAGCCTGTGGGCGGGCTCCACACCCCCCCTCCCATTTTTGCTATCCCCCCTCTCCCCTTCTGACAGTGCGAAGTGGACGGAGACGGAAATAGAGATGCTGAGGGCTGCTGTGAAGCGATTTGGGGACGATCTTAATCACATCAGCTGTGTCATCAAGGAACGGACAGTGTGAGGGAGGGTGGCTGCCAGAAAAGGGCGGGTGGGCAGCCTTCTTCCTCCTTACCCAAGGTTCCATCGTCCTCAGAACTCCTTTCCAGCTCAGCTGCTTCCCTACTTTGTCACTAGTTTTTTAGAATCCCCTTGAGGACTGAAAGAATAGAATTGTCACAGTTGGTCAGAAGTTCCTAAAATGCTGTGGTAATCCTTCCAAGAATGTGAATTTAGGTTGCCTGAGATGCTGTTATTGTATTTGATGATGGAAGTCCCCTGGTTATTTATATAAATGTTTGAGGACCCCACTGCAGTGTTTCCAGGGATATGGTGACCCTGAACTAGTTGATCAGTAAATCTCAATCCACCTGTAAATCACCAAGCTCTACCTGATGTCTCTCCCAGAAGAGAATTAGGAGATGGGCCTTTCCCACTACTCAGTTCAGGGACTCCACTCTCCACACTCCATCCATCCTGAGTGAGTGTAAAACTTCGAGAAAGTGAGAACCCTACCAATGGGTTGGGGCCCCGACCTGGATTCTTATGAAGGGACTCCCAGAACCCCTTCCCCTCCCGTCCCCTCTTCTGTTAGTCTCTCTGATGACTCCTTTCCTAACCTCTTCTCTCTTTTCTTCAGGGCCCAGATAAAGGCCACTGTGAAACGCAAGGTATATGAAGATTCTGGCATCCCCCTTCCAGCTGAGTCACCCAAGAAAGGGCCCAAGAAGGTGGCATCTGGTGTCTTGTCACCTCCTCCAGCTGCCCCTCCTCCCAGCAGCTCCAGTGTCCCTGAGGCCGGGGGTCCCCCCATAAAGAAACAGAAGGCTGGTGAGGGCTGTGGAGTTGCTGCCTAGGGGTTAAAGGTCCCATCTGAGGTTTAGTGAGAGAATTGGGCCTGGGTCAAAGAAGGGTCAGTCTCTCTTCCTGTCCCTGTGGAGGTTCCCAGAGAGGGGCAGAGGGGAGGGGAGAGGAGGCACAAAGCTTTGGGAAGCTTGGGGCTGGGGGAGAGGCTGTCAGGGGAACCTAGAACCTAGCTTATGCCCCCTTCCCAGATGTGACACTCAGTGCTCTGAACGACTCCGATGCCAACAGTGACGTGGTGGATATTGAAGGGCTAGGAGAAACTCCTCCAGCTAAGAAACTCAACTTCGACCAGGGTAGGAGTCCTCCTCCTCCCACACAGCTGACGGGGTTGGGGAGAAAGGGCTCACCTGGATGGCAGGGCACGGTCTCCGCAGGGGCCCCTCCCTTGTATAGGGGTTTCAGAAGAGAAGGTGCTCTCATACACAGCGCAGGGCATTGGATCAGTACGTAGCAGGGTGTTTCAGGGAGGTGGGAGTGGCCTTGGAAGCACACTGGGGGCTCGCTCCATCTCGGCCCATTTTACTTCCTGTTCCAGACAGCCTGACCCTGGATTCTGGCCTTCTCATGACCTCTGCTGATCCTCCTCTCCTCTCCTGCTGAGCCTTCCACCTCTGACCTCTCACTGTTCATGCCGGACCTGTGGATCTCCTGGGACTCCGAGCAAGGCCTGCACGAGAGAGGGCTGAAAGGCTGCTGGGGCTGCCACCTCGCTATTCCCGCATAAGCATCTGCCCCCAACCCCTTTGACCTTCATCTGATGGACATTTTTATACAGAAAACAATAAAGATTTCCCTCTCAGCTTCGTGCTGTCTGCTTAACATTATTAGCAGGAGAGGCCTGTTCCCTCTTCTCTCCTCGGCCCATGGGGGCTCAGCCCCTCCTCGGTAGTTTTCACCACCCTGCCTGGAGCAGCACAGCCAATATTGGCAGACTCGCTTCCCTGTGCCAATATTTCTGTGCTGCTAGAGCCAGGGAAGCTGGGTGTGGGCAACAAAGACTCCACTTTGTTCTCTTGAGGCAGAACTTACTCCCAGGGTCTCTGGCCATCAGTATTCTTGAAACTGCCCTGGAGATTTTAGAGGGGTGCTTACATACCCCACCCTCTCCTTGCCCACCTGGCAAGAAGTTTGTCACAAGGCCCCAGATGTTTTTTGTGTCACTTCTCCAGGATGGCCTCCCAGGGCCAAGCCTCGGCGGTGCCTCCCCCACCCTCGCTCTAACACCACAGTGTGGTTTGGACGTGGCCACAGTGCCGTACAAACCACAGTGTGCTGCTGGGGCGGGAGCAGGACCGGGGTGGGTTGAAAGGAAGAGAGCACATAGCAGTGCTGGGAAGACCCCAGCACCACCTCCAGGAGCGGGGGGATAGAGAAGCCTTAAAAGGCAAACATGGCCCCCAAAAACGTTTGGGAGGAACCAGGGACGGGCTGAGCAGGCAACTGGAAGGCGACGGACCATGGGGATGAGCTCACAGTGTAGTAAGATTGGACCATCTTCCCTCTGTAGGAACTCAGCTCAGGGGATCCCTAGGGTGGGGTCAGAGGCAGAAGAAATAGGGAATGACTGGAGGGGCCAACACACTGCCTCCTGTCTCAGCAAGGGCAGGGACCCAAGGCTTCCTGTGTCCGTCCTTCCTCTCCCTGGGTCAGAACCCAAGAGAAAAGCAAGGAGAGACAGAGGGCCAAGGCCAGCAGGGTTGGGAGTTGGCAGTCCAGAGGTGGTGGGGCCGGAACATGGTTGGGAGAGGGGGGCCGGAAGTCGCCCTGGGCCCTGGGCCTGCCACAAGATGGAGGCCAAAGGCAGGAAATGGAGACCAGGGGGAAGGGGAGCAGCAGAGCCCAGGAAGAGGGCCATCTGGACCTGGGGGGCCAGGTATTCAACCCCCAGTGCTGTTCCCACTCCCCAGGGCCCCTGAGGACCCGAGCCGGCCCCCACAGCAACCTCCATCAGCCCATCCACCAGGCCAGGGCAGGCGGGCCCACCCCAGAGAGCCACGTTTAAGCTGAGACAAACATGCCTCTCCCCACCCCCAACTCCAGGCCTTCCCTCAGCCCTTTTCTCCTGTCCAGGACTTGATTTTTTAAAAACACCCCTCAGAAAGCAAAATCCAAGGGCCAAAACTCCTTTTGCAAATCAAAATATGACCCCCTAAAATCCAGAAGTTATCTTCCTATATCCCATCGCATCTTTTACCACCCCCTCTTCCGACACACCCCCCAAAACTCTTAGCAATCTGAAAGATCCAAGGTGGTGTATGTAAGCAGTCTTTTTAGGCCCCCGAAGATGCCAGACCCCTCCCGGACACCCCTATCTGCCCTCCATCAAATCTTGCCAAGGCCTCCTGCTCCTCCACCACCCTCCATAGCCCCCAAACTAACAGTTGCCCCCAGCTCCTACCTCGGCAGAGCCTTTGTGGGGGGTGAAAGAGAAATTAAACACTATCCTAACGGCTGGGGATGTTGGGGGGCTCTCTGGTCTCAGCCTTTGGTTTCCGTCTGGGGGGCTGCAGTTTAGGGGTATAAGAGAAAGCCTCTCCAATCATCCCCCCAATTCCAAGACTGACAAAGCCAACCCCACCCCAGCACGCACCTCCAAACCTCCCCCCCAACCGCCACGTCTCTCCTGAAAACAGAGGACACTTCCCTCCCCACTTACCTCAGCTACTCTCCCCTGAGATCCTGGTCCCCTATTTTGAAAAGAGCAAAATTTAGGGTGCATCCCTCACATTTGGGGTGCAGGAGAAAGGAGCCGCCCCAGTCGCATCGCTGGCCTCCTTCCTCTCGGCTGGCTCAGGGACTGGGGAGTGCCCTGGGGAGGGGGCACCCCCACAAGAGATCTCAGGAGGGGTTCCTCCACTCCCAGTCAGAATTGGGGACACCCCCCCAAAACCCGTCCCAGCCCATCCGTCTCCAACTCGGCGGGAGAGGCAGCTGCAATGCCCCAGTCAGATTCACCCAACACTACATTCCTCACCCCATCTAGAGGGGTCCCGGGGTCCCCAAAAAATCCCAAAAAAATCTAGGATGTTGGGAGGACGGTCCTGGACTAGCTCCCCAAATTTGGGGTCCTCAGATACCCCCGTTTTTTCAGGAAAATTCCGTCTTTTGCCTGCCTCCCGCCAGCCCTGCTCTGTCCCGATGCCAATTTTGGAAGTCACTCCCTCCTTCCTCCTCCCCGTCTCTCCAGGCCCCCCCCACCGCTCGGGGGCTAGGGTCCAGGACACCTGGCTTCCAGACCGGGGGGAATCACTCCTCAAAGGGCTAGGGGCCAGGAGGTCAAGCTCATTGCCCCTGTCTTAAGGAAGCAGGAAAGCCCGTTCCTCCCTTCCCCTCCCCCCTGGCTGGTCACCGTGGTGGTTTAGGAAAGCCTGGAGGATTGGAATCTGCCATTGCTGTTGCACAGGCAGTTTTTTTTCTTGGGTTGGGGGGGTGGGCGGTGGGAGGGAGAGAGGGGAGGAGGGCCGAAGAGAGAAGGGACCCAGGCGCGAAGAGCTGGCCTGGCTTACCCTGTAGCCCCGGCTGCCGTGGGGAACCCCTCCCCGCCATCTCACCCACACTCCCAGTCCTCTGTCTGCTTTCTGTTTGGGGCTCATCCTAGAAAATCAGGGTGCAAGAATCACCTCCTTGTACCCCACCAGCACCCCTCCTTGCCACAGTTCCAACAGCACTGCCCTGGTCAGGGGTGCCCACTTGGCCAAGGGACACCCCATTTTTCTCCAACTTCCCCCAAACTAAGGGGTGCTCCCTTAAGAAATTGGGATTCAGAGTCTGAAACCGCCTTTTCTCCCTCTCTTCTCCCTCAAGCCACATAATAATAAAAGGAGATACCACACCCTTTCCAAGTTTCTCCCTTCAAATCCTGGGCTTATTTGGGGGTTCACTAAAGAAACTTCTAGAATCTGGGGTGAGAGGGCACTATAAGCAAAAGACATCCCAAACCAGGGTCCAAATTAAGTGAACTCCCAAATCAGTCTCACCTTATGATTATCCCTTAGCTTCACCAAAAGCAGCCAGAGTGACAAAACACCCCCAAAATAAGAACACCCCAGAACTTTAGTCTCCTGTCCTCGCGGCCCTCACCTTGTTTCTCCCCTGGGGAAAAAGCTTCTTGGGTATCCATGGATACACAGGAATACCCCACGTCTTTCCACTTTGTGGAACGTGAGTGTCCACAAGACTCAAATATAAAAGTTTGCTCCCCCCTCCCAGGACCCCCAATCACAGAAAGCTTCGAACTTGCTCCCAGCTTCCTATAATGTTCCACCTCAAACTAATTTTTAAAACTCCAAATTGAACTTATTCCCCAAATCTAATCTGAGCCTTGAAACTTAGATGGCACCCCAAAATAGACTGCACCCCCAAATCAGCATGAGTACTTTGGTTCTGCTGATAGTCCAAGATGACACAGGTGAGCACAATCTCCAAATTGTGGGTGTCAGAACCCCCAGAACTAATGTAACTTCCAAGTCAGCCCCATACCTGAAACTTACCATATAGGCCTCAAAGGCTGAATGCAGCCACCGGTGCTCACAATCAAATCAACACCCCATAATAAACAGACACCCCACAACTGATCAAATAATACTCCATCCTGATGCCAAAGGGAGAGCCCCTAGTCTAATTCTCATCTCCAAGCTGGGCAGAGACCTAAATAACCCTCACATGTCAAAGCCACCTCATCGTCCTGAATTTCCCAGTTCCCGGTTTCTCAGCTGTTCTTTCATGCATTCAAATAAAGACACACTCCGGTCTGAAGGGGAGGGCCCCGGGCCTGATATCCAGCCCCGTGGACCATGGTCGGCCATTCCTGGCCAACTGTACACTCTCCCCAGCCCAAATCCGGGGAGCTTCTGCCTTGCAGCTGGATTCAGCTCTAGCACCCCTTCTCCAAATGAGCTTTGCCTTGCCTGCCCGCAATGTCTCCCGAAACAAAATATGAGGGTGTGATCCATGCCCATCTCTCAGATCAGGGACTTCAAATTAGGGTGGTTAAGCCCCCTCCTGCCCTCTCTCCCTCCTCCTTGTTTTCCCTTCTCGTTTACCCCACCCAATTTTAATGTTCAATTAAAAGTCACCTCCAAAGACATCTGGGTAGCAGTGTCTAGCTTAATTCGAAAAGAAAACCCGGAGTTCCCAGGCTCAGGTCCCGCTTCTTGTCCCACCCATTCCCCTGGCTCCTAAAGCCCGCGATTTCTCACCTCGGGTAGGAACCCCAGCCTGAGGGGAAAGTCCCCTCGGTCTCCTAACTCTAGCTCCCTCCGCCCAGCCCTAGTCCCCTCCTAGGAGACAGAGGTGCAAAATAAACCCGCGCAAAGGGGAGGAGGCTAAAGGTTTCAGCCGCCCAGACCAAATGGATCCTGCGCCCGGGTCTGAGCGCACCCCAGGCCGGGTGGAGACGAGGGGCGAGGCGAGGCCAGTGCTCGGCCGCCCCCTCGTGGAAGGAGCCGCACATTGCCGAGCCTTGCCTACTTGCCGCGCTGGACCCCGGCGTCCCGCCAGCCTCCAAGCGTAGCCGACGGGCGGGTGCCCGAGGCCCTCGTGAGCTGGGATTGGGGGAAAGCAAGCGGGCTTTGGGCGGGAGTCCATCTCTCTGGATCCCTACAAGGACCCAGAAGAGAGTCGGGAGCGAGAGAGGCCGGACGCCTAGGTCTCCCGAGCGTCTCTCGCCCCTCCACCCCCACCTCGGGGCTTTCCCCACCTCCTCGAGGGGAAGCAGCTGGCGGAGCCGTCCGGTCGCAGGACAATGGAAGGAAACCAACTAGAAATCATATCCGCCCTCTCCGTACCCCGCCCGGCCAGAGCCCCCCTTTTTGTAGGCCCGGGTAGAGTAGCCTGTCATTCACACCACACCCTCCCCGTCTGAGACCCTACGGGAGCCCACTGTCGTCTGCCCAAACCTGCTGTCTCGTTGGGCTCCCCCTTTTCTCCCTTAACACAGTACAAGAGAGGGAGAGGGGGTTGCCGTATGCACTTTGTCCTGCAGCAAAGGTTGGCTCCTGGCAAACCCTCCCAAAAGCCAACACACCAATTTTCACTGGCCCAGGCCTTCCGACGACTCAGACTCCCGTATTGCCAACCTCGATATCCCTAACCTCCTCCCCAATTCCAATATCCCCGTCCTCGTGTCCACTTGCAGTGACCCAAGACCCCCTACGTTACGACCACCCCTTGTTTCTGAGGTCCCGCCCTCGAGACGGAGACCCCGCCCTGGACTCGCCATCTGGAGAGCGAGGGAGGAAGGAAGGATACAGACCCAGGCGTTCACCCCACCTCCACCCCCGCCCCCGACATCCCGGCCAGATAAAGGAGCCGAGGCCAAGAGGGGAGAGAGACCCCGCCCCCCTTAAGAAGAGAAGCCGCGGCCCCTGCAGGACGGGGGTAAGAACAAGAGACTGAGGGAGCCAGACTCCTGGGTCCCCCAAGAGGGTAGGAGCTTGTGTGGAGCTTGCCATCAGCGAGCCTGAGTCCCAGAAATTGGGCTAAACTAGGGATTGGGGACTAGATAGGAGTCGCAGAATTCCGTAGTTCGGGGAAGGGAGCCTCGGCTGGGATTTGGAGGTGTGTGGACGGCAGGCCGTGAGATCTCGAGGCAGGGTTGGACACCTGAGACACAGGCGCGCAGAGGGGAGTGGCGGTGCTGGAGGGGCACTGGGGGTCGAACCCAGGGCGATGGGCGCGGGATTCCCCACGCTCGCCAACGACGCCGCGGTGTGGAACCTTCAACTGGCTCCAAGCGCTGTGGGATCTGGAAGAGGCAAGGGAGCGAGGGTGTCGTAGAGGGCAGAATGAACAAGAAGAATTAGGAGGGAGGCTGCGTGTGCCGGGGCTAGGGGCTGGAAGTCCTGGCTCTAGTTGCACCTCGGAAGGAAAAGGCAAACAGAGGAGGGAAGGCGTCTTAGGACTGCCTGGATCCAGAGCACTTTCCACGGCCTCTACAGGCCTGTGTCGCTATGGGTTCCCCCGCCGCCCCGGAGGGAGCGCTGGGCTACGTCCGCGAGTTCACTCGCCACTCCTCCGACGTGCTGGGCAACCTCAACGAGCTGCGCCTGCGCGGGATCCTCACTGACGTCACGCTGCTGGTTGGCGGGCAACCCCTCAGAGCACACAAGGCAGTTCTCATCGCCTGCAGGTTCGAGGGGTGGGGCCTGGGGCGGGGCCAAATGGGAAAGGGGTGGGACCACAGGGCCGTTGAGAGGGAATCCGAAGCCAAGTCTTTCAGAAGCAGGAGGCGGAGCGTCCCAGAATTGGGGGCGGGGTGATAGTGAGGAGGCGGGACTTTTTCAGGGGGCGGGGCTTCCTGAAGCTGCGCATGTCTCCCTTGGTTCCCCAGCCCCCAAAGGACTTATCTGCTCTCTCTCTAGTGGCTTCTTCTATTCAATTTTCCGGGGCCGTGCGGGAGTCGGGGTGGACGTGCTCTCTCTGCCCGGGGGTCCCGAAGCGAGAGGCTTCGCCCCTCTATTGGACTTCATGTACACTTCGCGCCTGCGCCTCTCTCCAGCCACTGCACCAGCAGTCCTAGCGGCCGCCACCTATTTGCAGATGGAGCACGTGGTCCAGGCATGCCACCGCTTCATCCAGGCCAGGTGAGGGACCCTGGCTCGGCGTTCTCTGTGGGTGAGGTGTTAAGGGCAAAGGCAGAGTTTAGGAAATGGCACTAACGTTCATCACACTTTCCCCAGCTATGAACCTCTGGGCATCTCCCTGCGCCCCCTGGAAGCAGAACCCCCAACACCCCCAACGGCCCCTCCACCAGGTAGTCCCAGGCGCTCCGAAGGACACCCAGACCCACCTACTGAATCTCGAAGCTGCAGTCAAGGCCCCCCCAGTCCAGCCAGCCCTGACCCCAAGGCCTGCAACTGGAAAAAGTACAAGTACATCGTGCTAAACTCTCAGGCCTCCCAAGCAGGGAGCCTGGTCGGGGAGAGAAGTTCTGGTCAACCTTGCCCCCAAGCCAGGCTCCCCAGTGGAGACGAGGCCTCCAGCAGCAGCAGCAGCAGCAGCAGCAGCAGTGAAGAAGGACCCATTCCTGGTCCCCAGAGCAGGTACAGAGTCTAGAACCTCAAGAATTTGTCAGAGCTGGCCTCAGCTAGAAGACAGAGTCATTGGGCCTTGATGGTCAGGAGGAAGGGAGATAGGTGGTGGGTTTCAGAGACACTAGCTCACCTTAAGGAGCTGGCCAGAGACCAGGTTTATTCAGCAGGGTGGCACTTGGGCAGTACAATGGATGTGGCTCATTGGTCAACAATATTGGCTCACCCTGAGAGGGCAGGCCTTTGGCTCCAAATTTCCCAGGAGAGAACCCCCACCCCTCAACCGTACAATCTCTTTTAACCCTTTCCTTGCCATCTGCCTAGGCTCTCTCCAACTGCTGCCACTGTGCAGTTCAAATGTGGGGCTCCAGCCAGTACCCCCTACCTCCTCACATCCCAGGCTCAAGACACCTCTGGATCACCCTCTGAACGGGCTCGTCCACTACCGGGTAAGAGCCCCTCTTTCTTGGCTTTTCTCCCGTGACTGCTCCAGGCAAGTTTGTGCCAAAAACTCTCCCAGAAAGGCCTATTCCAATGGTTCCTAAACTTTATTACAAATTAGAATCACCTAGGAAGCTTTTAAACTCCCACTGCCCAGGTCACACTCCATAGATTAAAATATCTGGACATGGGACGAGTCATCAGTATTTTTCTAAAGCTCTCCCAGTGCTTCCAATGAGCAGCAAAGTTTGAGAATTTCTGGCCTATCCCCTTTCAGAGCTGAATGGTCAGCCCAAAGCTTGTCAGGGCCTCTCTGGCAGGCTGTCATTCAGAGTGGTGCAAGTGAGGAGGAGATTTTAGCCAAGCATGGTGGCTCATGCCTGTAATGCCAGCACTTTGGGAGGCCAGTGCAGGAGGATCACTTGAATCCAAGAGCTCAAGGCCAGCCTGGGCAACATAGTCAGATGTGGTCTCTACAAAAAATAAAAATGAAAATTAGCCGGGCACGGTGGTGCACACCTGTAGTCCCAGCTACTCAGGAAGCTAAAGTGGAAGGATCGTCTGAACCCGGGAGGTGGAGATTGCAGTGAGCCGAGATCACACCACTGCACTCCAGCATAGGCAACACAGCAAGACTCTGTCTCAAAAAAAAAAAAAAAAAAAAAAACAGGAGGAGAAACAAAACTCCTCCCACTAGCAGGGGCCTCCACCTACCACCACTGCTTTTATTTTATTTATTTATTTTTTTGAGACGGAGTCTCACTCTGTGGCCAGGCTGAAGTGCAGTGCCGCAATCTCGGTTCACTACAACCTCCACATCCCAGGTTCAAGCGATTCTCCTGCCTCAGCTTCCCGAGTAGCTGGGACTACAGGCACGTGCCACCACACCCAGCTACTTTTTGTATTTTTAGTAGAGACGAGGTTTCACCATGTTGGCCAGGATGGTCTCCATCTCTTGACCTTGTGATCCGACCGCCTCGGCCTCCCAAAGTGCTGGGATTACAGTCGTGAGCCACCGTACCTGGCCCCCACCACTGCTATTGAAGAGGAGATTAGCTGAGTACTCGAGTCAGACAGATGTGCAGTCAGATCTGGCTCATCTTACTATCTTCTTACTTGGCCTTGAGCAAGTCAAACCAGCCCCAGAAGTCTTAACAATAAATTGGGAAACAGAAAGCCTGCTACTGTGTGGTTTGAGGATTCAGTAGTACCTAGATAGCCCTCATTAATAACTATGGTTGCCGTCACCCATTCCCCTTCCCAGGAAGTGAATTTTTCAGCTGCCAGAACTGTGAGGCTGTGGCAGGGTGCTCATCGGGGCTGGACTCCTTGGTTCCTGGGGACGAAGACAAACCCTATAAGTGTCAGCTGTGCCGGTCTTCGTTCCGCTACAAGGGCAACCTTGCCAGTCATCGTACAGTGCACACAGGTAGGGGAAGAGAGGGCCCTGGCCTTCAAGCCCACAGCTGTCCTAGGGCAAAGTCCCTGATCTCCCATGTTCTCTGCCTCCAGGGGAAAAGCCTTACCACTGCTCAATCTGCGGAGCCCGTTTTAACCGGCCAGCAAACCTGAAAACGCACAGCCGCATCCATTCGGGAGAGAAGCCGTATAAGTGTGAGACGTGCGGCTCGCGCTTTGTACAGGTACGGAGCCAGCCTCCAAGTGGCTTCCAAGGCAAACCTGCAAGAGGTGGGGTGGGCCAATAGGGAGGGTTCTGTTCCTCCCAGAGGCAGGACTTGAAGTCTCCTCCCTCCCAGGTGGCACATCTGCGGGCGCACGTGCTGATCCACACCGGGGAGAAGCCCTACCCTTGCCCTACCTGCGGAACCCGCTTCCGCCACCTGCAGACCCTCAAGAGCCACGTTCGCATCCACACCGGAGAGAAGCCTTACCACGTGGGTACCCAACCTGGCCTGCCCACTGCCTTAGAATTACCTCTCCTTTGCCTAGGGGTGGGCTCTGAGAGGTGCGGGCCTGGCTGTCCCTAGATCTCTTAGAAATGAGCGGTGGCCGGAAGAGTCCAAGCAAATAAGGGGTGGAGGCTGGGAGTCAGGATGGGCAGGTATAGAAGTGATGCTCCTGGGCTGAGCACTGTTTTCTCAGAGAGGAGCTGAGAAGTGGGAAAACCTTTGCTAAATAAGGCGGGGCCTATCCCCTCAGCCACCCCTGAGGATTTGGGAGGATGTGAGAGTCAAAGAGCTGATCTTCCGCTGGATAGTTCCCACCTGGGAGAGCTGGACGGCCGCCCGGCTCAACACCTAAAAGGTGATTGTGGATGGGGCAGGGCCTGACTTGGCTGTCCTCCCACAGTGCGACCCCTGTGGCCTGCATTTCCGGCACAAGAGTCAACTGCGGCTGCATCTGCGCCAGAAACACGGAGCTGCTACCAACACCAAAGTGCACTACCACATTCTCGGGGGGCCCTAGCTGAGCGCAGGCCCAGGCCCCACTTGCTTCCTGCGGGTGGGAAAGCTGCAGGCCCAGGCCTTGCTTCCCTATCAGGCTTGGGCATAGGGGTGTGCCAGGCCACTTTGGTATCAGAAATTGCCACCCTCTTAATTTCTCACTGGGGAGAGCAGGGGTGGCAGATCCTGGCTAGATCTGCCTCTGTTTTGCTGGTCAAAACCTCTTCCCCACAAGCCAGATTGTTTCTGAGGAGAGAGCTAGCTAGGGGCTGGGAAAGGGGAGAGATTGGAGTCCTGGTCTCCCTAAGGGAATAGCCCTCCACCTGTGGCCCCCATTGCATTCAGTTTATCTGTAAATATAATTTATTGAGGCCTTTGGGTGGCACCGGGGCCTTCATTCGATTGCATTTCCCACTCCCCTCTTCCACAAGTGTGATTAAAAGTGACCAGAAACACAGAAGGTGAGATCACAGCTCTGCTGGCAGAGATTACTAGCCCTTGGCTCTCTCGTTTGGCTTGGGTATTTTATATTATTTCTGTCATAACTTTTATCTTTAGAATTGTTCTTTCTCCTGTTTGTTTGCTTGTTAGTTTGTTTAAAATGGAAAAAGGGGTTCTCTGTGTTCTGCCCCTGTAATTCTAGGTCTGGAACCTTTATTTGTTCTAGGGCAGCTCTGGGAACATGCGGGATTGTGGAATTGGGTCAGGAACCCTCTCTGGTATTCTGGATGTTGTAGGTTCTCTAGCAGTCTAGAAATGGATACAGACATTTCTCTGTTCTTCAAGGGTGATAGGAACCATTATGTTGAGCCCAAAATGGAAGTAATAATAAATGCCTCCTGGAGGCTGTGGGTGTGGGGGATTCTGTATCTGGATTCCGTATCACTCCAAGTGGAGGCTGGCAGGTTTTTCTGCAAGATGGTCCAGAATCTAAAATGTCCCATTAATCTGGTCACTTGGGTTTGGCTCTGCTGTATCCATCTATAGTGGTAGAGACCCACCAGGGCTCAAGTGGAGTCCATCATCCTCCCACGGGGGCCTGTTCTTAGCACTGAGTTGATCGCTCCATGGGGGAGAGATCAGACATTCCTTATCAGAGATGATGTGACCTTTTCTGACTCTGCCCAGTCTCTATGAATGTTATGGCCTAGGGAAGAATCATGAAACTCTTTAGCTTGATTAGATGGTAAACAGTGTTAACCCATCCTTTACTACAGAGGCATATGGGTTTGAATGTTACCTGGGGTTCTCTCTATTGAGTTGAGCCCCTTCTTCCTTTAGTGGGTTTTGGACATCTTCTGGCAAGTGTCCAGATGCCAGAACCTTCTTTTCCTCTAGAAGGGATGGTGCTTGGTAACCTTACCTTTTAAAAGCTGGGTCTGTGACCTGGTCTTCCCATCCCTGCATTCCTGTCTGGAACCAGTGAATGCATTAGAACCTTCCATAGGAAAAGAAAAGGGGCTGAGTTCCATTCTGGGTTTGCTGTAGTTTGGTTGGGATTATTGTTGGCATTACAGATGTAAAAGATTGACTAGCCCATAGGCCAAAGGCCTGTTCTAGTTGACCAAGTTTCAAGTAGGATTAAGAGGTTGGTTGAGGGGTGCAGTTTCTGGTGTAGGCCAGGTAGGTAGAAAGTGAGGAACAGGGTTGCCTCTTGGCTGGGTGGAGTCTCTGAAATGTTAGAAGAAGCGCTGAAGCCTTGATTGATAGTTCTGCCCCTTGTTGCCCTGGGGCTTATCTGATTATGGGACGAGGGTAGAAAGTAAGAAGCACTTTTGAATTTGTGGGGTAGAACTTCAACAATAAGTCAGTTCTAGTGGCTGTCGCCTGGGGACTAGTGAGAAAGCTACTCTTCTCCCTCTTCCCTCTTTCTCCCCATGGCCCCACTGCAGAATTAAAGAAGGAAGAAGGGAAGGCGGAGGAGTCTATAAGAAGGAATCATGATTTCTATTTAGCAGATTGGATGGGCAGGTGGAGAATGCCTGGGGGTAGAAATGTTAGATCTTGCAACATCAGATCCTTGGAATAAAGAAGCCTCTCTGTGCTGCCTGCTGTGTCCTGGGTTCTTGCCTTGGGGGACTCGGGGAGCGAGGAAGAGAGCTCTTCCTCCTGGATAACATCTTGGATTCTGTACCATTCCACTGTCCCTTCCCACCAGACATTTTAAATGGTCCTCGTTGTCCCCTTCCCTGCCCTTGCCTTCCTGCTCATTGTGTAGGAACCAGTGACTTCATGAAGTTTCTCCGGAGCCACCTGCATCCTGCTGCTCTGAAGTCACTTCCTGCCTGAGGTGTGGAGGCTGCAGGGAGAAACCAGGAAGCCACTAATAATATCAAGAGGCCGGGGCGTGCATCTGTGCTGGAGATCTTAATGCTGGCGACATGCCTCCATCACCAAGGAAGATGGATAAGAGTTGGGTCCCGTAAAGACCACAGGGGCTGGAGGTGGCACTGAGAAGACTGAGTTAGAACTAACGGGCCAGCCCACCCTCCCCCAGCAAGGGTATCTTGAATCTATCCAGGGTCCAGTGCATGCATCTCTCCCACCCTTTCCCCTGTCCTGTGTGTGTGCTGGGTGCGGAGGTCACTAATTCTGATATTACCTTCCTCTGGGCCTTAAATTCCTCATCTGTGAAAAAGTCAGTTACCATGATCTCTGCAGCTACCTCCAACATTGAAAGTTTGTAGTTGTCTTAATCTGTCTTCTGTTGCTTATTATAGAATACTGAATCTGGGCAACTTATAAAGAAAAGGAAATTATTTCTTACAGTTACGGACACTGAAAATTTTGCCCAAGGTCAAGTGGCCACATCTGGTGGTGGTCGTCTGGTTGGTGGGGGCTCTCTGCAGCACAGGAAACATTGCCAGTGTGCAAACATTGCCAGTTCAGGTCTCTCTTCCTCTTCTTATAAAGCCACCAGTTCCCCTCCCGTGATAACCCATAATCCATGAATGGCAGAACCCTCGGGATCCAATCCAATCATCTTTTTTTTTTTCTGAGACAGAATCTCGCTCTGTCTCCCAGGCTGGAGCGCAGTGGTGCAATCTCAGCTCACTGCAAGCTCCGCCTCCCGGGTTCACACCATTCTCCTACCTCAGCCTCCCAAGTAGCTGGGACTACAGGCACCCGCCACCACACCTGGCTAATTTTGTATTTTTAGTAGAGACACGGGGTTTCACCGTGTTAGCCAGGATGGTCTCAATCTCTTGACCTCGTGATCCGCCCACTTTGGCCTCCCAAAGTGCTGGGATTACAGGTATGAGCCACCATGCCCAGCCCCCAATCATCTCTTAAAAGCCCCAGCTCTCAATACCGTCATGTTGAGAACTAAAAGTTTCCATATGAATTTTTAGAGGAGACATGCAAACCATAGCATTCTGTCCCTGGGCCCCCAAAACTCATGTGCTTCTCACATACAAATACATTCATTCCACTCCCATAATCCCAAAGTCTTCACTCATTGCAGCATCAAAGTCTCATCTGTGAGCTAGTTATCTACTTCCAAGTTATGGAGCAAGTTATCTACTTCCAAGATATAATGGTGGGAACGAGCATAGTGTACACATTCCCATTCCAAAAGGGAGAAATAGGCAAAAAGAAACGGGTGAAACAGGCCCCAGGAAAGTCTGAAACCCAGTGAAACCCAGCAGGGCCAACATGACACCTTTTTTTTTTTTTTTTTGAAAGGAATCTAGCTCTGTCACTCAGGCTGGAGTGCAGTGGCGCGATCTCGCTCACTGCAACCTCCGCCTCCCAGGTTCAAGCGATTCTCCTGCCTCAGCCTCCCAAGCATCTGGGATTACAGGTGCCCACCAACACACCCAGCTAATTTTTGTATTTTTAGTAGAGATGGGGTTTCACTGTGTTGGCCAGGCTCGTCTTGAACTCCTGACCTCGTGATCTGCCCGCCTCGACCTCCCAAAGTGCTGGGATTACAAGCGTAAGCCACCGCACCCGGCCAACATTGCGACTTAAAGGTAGAGAATAATCTTTTTTGACTACATGTGGCACCTCCTGGACACAGGGTGGGAGTTGGATCCCCAAGGCTTCAGGCAACCCAGCCCTGTGGCTTTGGTGGGTGGGCTGGAGTCTGGTGCCTGAAGTTTCCTGGGGGGAGGGGGGCGCTGCCTGCTGCCTGTGATTCCAAAGTTCTGGGGGCCTGGTGGTGGTCCTGCTTCCACGGCTGTACTAGGCATTGCCCTACTGGGGACTGTGTGCATTGGCCTTGTTCCTATGGCTCCACCAAGGACTACCCCAGTGGGGGCTCTGCAGTGGCCTTGCTTCCACAATTCCAATAGGCATTGTCCTGGCAGGCACTCTCTGAGGCAACTTCAACATCACATTGCTGCTGGGTATTGCTCTGGTGGGGGCTCTCTGCAGTGGCTCTGCCCCTGTGACAAGTCCCTGCCTGGGCCCCTAGGCTTTCAACAACATCCTTTGAAATCCATGTGGAGACTGCCAAGCCTTCACAGCTCTTACTTTCTGCAAGACTGCAGAATTAGCACCACAAGGATGCAGCAAAGGTCTATGATTTGCACCTTCTGGAGCTTCAATACAAGCAACACACACACACACACACACACACACACACACACACACACAAGGAACACCTGGGGCCACTTAAGCCACCACCAGGCTGGGGTGGCCACAGAGTGCTACACTGGGGTGTGGGGTGCAGAGTCCTGAGGTTGCCCTGGGCGGTGAGCCCATGGAGAGCACCCAGGGCCTGTACCCTGAAACCCTCTGTCCTCCAAGGCCTCTGGGCCTGTGATGGGAGGGGCAGCCTCAAAGACCTCTGAAATGAGTTCAGGGACTTTCTTCCATTTTCTTGAGGAAGAGCACCTGGCTCCTTTTTAGCCATGTTAATCTTTTTAGCAAGAAGTGGCTTGGCCACGCCCTTGGATTCATCTCCTGAAAATGCTCTTTCATTCTCTACCACATGGCCAGGCTGAGAATTTTCCAAATGTTTCCACTCTGTTTCTTTTCTCTGTGAGATCATCTTAAGCAGTTAGAAGCAACCACACAGCAGCCTCAGCATTTTGCTGCTTAGAAATGTCTTCTGCCTGCCAGATACCCTAGTTCATCACTCTCAACTTCAGCCTTCCACAAAGCCCTTGGGCATGGATACAGTTTAGCCAAGCTCTTTGCCAGTTCGTAACAAGGATGGCCTTTACTCCAGTTTTCAATACCTTGCTCCTCAGTTCCATCTGAAAGCTCATCAGAATGGCTTTTGCTTCCATATTTCTTTTTTTTTTTTTTTTTTTTGAGATGGAGTCTCGCTCTTTCGCCCAGGCTGGAGTGCAGTGGCACGATCTCGGCTCACTGCAACCTCCGACTCCCTGGTTCAAGCGATTCTCCTGCCTCACCCTCCCGAGTAGCTGGGATTACAGGCGAGTGCTACCATGCCCAGCTAATTTTTGTATTTTTAGTAGAGACAGGTTTCACCATGTTGGCCAGGATGGTCTCAATCTCCTGACCTCATGATCCGCCCACCTCAGCTTTCCAAAGTGCTGGGATTACAGGCGTGAGCCACCCCGCCCAGCTGCTTCCATATTTCTATCAACATTCTAGTCATAAACACTTAACCAATCTCTAAAGAATTCCAAACTTTTCTTAGTCTTCTTGTCTTCTAAGACCTCTCCAGAATCTAGGCTTTTTCTAGCCTACTCCTCCAAATGCTTCCAGCCTCTGCCCATCACCCACTTCCAAAGCCACTTCATCATTTTCCGTTATTCATTATCAGCAACACCCCACTTCTTGGTACCAGTTTTCTGTCTCATTCAGTTCATTTTCTGTTGCTTACAACAGATTATCTGAAACTGGGTAATTTATAAAGAAAATGAATTTATTTCTTATAGTATGGAGGCTGAGAAATCCAAGGTCCAGGGGCCTCACCCTCTAGTGAGGGTTTTCTTGCTGATATGGACTCTCTGTGGCACAGGGTGTCACATGGCAAAGGGGGCTAAGCATGCTAATGTTCTAGCTTGGATCTGTCTGAAAAAGCCGACAATTCCCCTCCCATGATAACCCATTAATCTATTAACCTTTTAGTCCTTTATGATGGGGTTAATCTGTTAACCTATTAATCCATTATGGTGGGCTAATTCATGGGGATTAATTAATCCATTAATCCCATCCAATCACCTTTTAAAGTTTCCACCTCTCAGTACCGCCAAGTTGGGGATTAAGTTTCAATATGAGTTTTTGGAGGTAACATTCAAACCATCGCAGTGGTCGTTTCTCAATCTTTTTAAACCCATGACCTGGATTAGATTTTTTTTTTTTTTAATCAAAAAACAAAAACTAGGCAGGGCATGGTGGCTCACGCCTATAATCCCAGCACTTTGGGAGGCCCAGGCAGGCAGATCACCTGAGGTCAGGAGTTCGAGACCAGCCTGACCAAAATGGTGAAACCCTGTCTCTACTAAAAATACAAAAAATTTAGCCAGGCATAGTGGCAAACACCTGTAGTCCCACCTATTCGGGAGACTGAGGCAGGAGAATCACTTGAACCCAGGAGGTGGAGGTCGCAGTGAGCCGAGATCATGCCATTGCACTCCAGCCTGGGAGACAAGAGCAAAACTCCATCTCAAAACAAAAAACAAAAAACAAAAAAAAAAACACTAAACTAAAACCTTCCTTCACTTCCCACTACAGCAGCTTATCCCCTGTTGAAAATAACACCAATAAGACCAGCTAAGCTAATATTACTTGGCTCCTGCTGCATGTCAGCACATAAACTAAGCATTTTTAGTGCATGGATTTTCTAACTGAACCCCTTGGGCAACGCTTAATAGTAGGTACTATTATCCCCAGTTTACAGATGGGGAAACCAACTGAGAGATTCAGCATCTTGATCGAGTTAAGTAATAAAGTCAAGATTGGAACTGGGCCAGGCACGGTGGCTCACGCCTGTAATCCCAGAACTTTGGGAGGCCAAGGCTGGTGGATCACTTGAGGTCAGGAGTTCGAGACCAGCGTGGCCAACATGGTGAGACCTCGTCTCTACTAAAAATACCAAAATTAACTGGGCGTTGTGGTGGGAGCCTGTAATCCCAGAAACTCAGGAGACTGAGGCAGGAGAATCACTTGAACCCGGGAGGTGGAGGTTGCAGTGAGCCAAGATCATGCCACTGCACTCCAGCCTGGGCCACAGAGCAAGACTCCATCTCAAAATAAATAAATAAATAAATAAATAAATAAATAAATAAATAAATAAAAGACTGGAACTGTGATCTGATTCTAAAGACCCGAGTTCTTAATCACTATGTAATACAGCCACAGCAATTTCTGTATCTTTGGCATATTCCCCACCAGCCGACATTTTGACTCTTAGAAAGTATATATGTGTATTATTGATGATTACTTTTATTTCCCACATATAAAATTATTTAAGGCTCAATATGTCTTTTAAGACTACACACCTCCCTCCCTGCCTCCACTTCTTGTTTGCTGCTTTCCCCAGTAATCTGGGAGTGAACATTGAGTCCACGGTTTCAAGGTCAGGGTCCTGGGAAGTATGGCTTATAATGAAGGAACAGGAAATCCAAGCCATTGGTGTTATGGAGACTGGGAAGGACTGGGGAGTGTTTGCTAGGGGCCTGAGGACTACTTGGGTAAGAGGGGGCTGACTGCTCCAGTGGCCAGGGTCATAGTTTGTCTCTTTAGTCTACCCCACCATCAGATCAAAAAAGGTGGTTAGGAAGTGGTTGTTACTAGAGGGCAGAGGAAAAGGTTCCAGCCCCAGTGAGGAAGAGGTAGGTGGTGTTGGTGGGGCCCTGTGTGAGCTTACAGCCGCCCTTCCTCTCCTCAGTTATTTTTGGTCTCTGTGACCTGTAGGTTTCCTGTTAGTGGGAACAGAAGTGACAGGAACGAGTTCCCACTACAGAAATGAACGCCAGGAGTCCAACTCATTCCCCTTCTCTCTTCCCTTAGCCGTTGAACTTCTCAGGGATCCAGGCTTCTAGGTCTGCGTGCCTAGGGCTGCGTGTTAGTGGCTTCAGGCGCTGCGCCAAACACTTCGTTTGAGTCTCATCTCCTAACCCCTCCCCTACCCCCAACAGGGCCTTGCAATTCCTGGACCCCTCATTAAAGCAAGAGAGTCCTCTCCTCTCCAGACCCAGTTTACCCACCACTAACCCTTCCGTGTGGCTCTGGGTGCTGAAACGGGGATGACTTGGCCCGCTAGGTGAAGAGGAGACGGAAGCTTCCTGGCAGTCCCCGCGTCACGTGGGGCCCTACCTAGTCAGCCTCCTAACGCCCCTCCTTACGCATGCGCCCATTCACTGCTGGTCCCCAACAATGCCTAAATCCCGCCCTGCCCTTCTCGTTCCGCCCCTGCCCGGGAGCCCCGCGTCCTCATTGGCGAGCTCCAGGGTGGCCCGGCCCGGACACCCCAGTGATAAAATAGATCATCTACACGGAAACTGGCGCGCTCCAGGGGTGGGGCCCAAACTCAGTTCCACCCTCTGGCTCCCAGCCGAACACCGAACCGGGACCGATCCGGCCCCGGCTTGAACTAGCTCAGCTCCGAGCTCGCGGAACCACGCCCCCGGGAGACTCTGGCCCGGCCAGCGCGGGCCAGGTCTTCAGTCCTATATCGCCCCGCCTTGGGAAAAGGTGCAGGGGCCTCTCGCCGCCTCGTCGGGCCCTTCCTCTCTACCTGCCTCTCCAACCCCTCTCGGCCCCGAGCCACCCGGCAGCGGGGGTGGGTGTGCAGAGGTGCGGCGTCCAGAACCCGGCTCCTGCAGAGGCTCTGGGTGGCAGCAGCCCTGTTACCGCTTAGATGGCGCGCAGGACAGAGCCCCCCGACGGGGGCTGGGGATGGGTGGTGGTGCTCTCAGCGTTCTTCCAGTCGGCGCTTGTGTTTGGGGTGCTCCGCTCCTTTGGGGTCTTCTTCGTGGAGTTTGTGGCGGCGTTTGAGGAGCAGGCAGCGCGCGTCTCCTGGATCGCCTCCATAGGAATCGCGGTGCAGCAGTTTGGGAGTGAGTGCGGCGCCTGGATCTGGCGGACTGCGACCCTCGGAAGGGAGAGGGAATGCGGCGACTGGGAAGTGGAAGGGCGAGGGGCGGGAGATGCTGGGGGGGAGACCCCTGAGATCTTCTCGCAGCGCCCCTTCCACTTCCTCAGGCCCGGTAGGCAGTGCCCTGAGCACGAAGTTCGGGCCCAGGCCCGTGGTGATGACTGGAGGCATCTTGGCTGCGCTGGGGATGCTGCTCGCCTCTTTTGCTACTTCCTTGACCCACCTATACCTGAGTATTGGGTTGCTGTCAGGTGAGAGCCTGCACAAGGGCAGGAGAGTCAAATGCTTAGATCGTTGGATGTTCACCTCCTTCCTGCTCCTTCCAAAGGGTTCGGGGAGAAGCTGAGGGAAAGTTTAGCTAGCACCTGTACCCAGAAGGGAATTCTTAATAGGAATGACTAAAGCGACAAACATGGTGAGGAATTAGGAAATTCAAGGATGATGAAACCTGGCCGGGCACGGTGGCTCACGCCTGTAATCCCAGCACTTTGGGAAGCCGAGGCGGGTGGATCACGAGGTCAGGAGTTTGAGACCAGCCTGGCCAACATGGTGAAACCCCGTCTCTACAAAAATACAAAAATTAGCCGGGCCTGGTGGCGCTAATCCCAGTTACTCGGGAGGCTGAGGCAGGAGAATCGCTTGAACCCGGGAGGCGGAGGTTGCAGTGAGCCAAGATCGCACCACTGCACTCCAGCCTGGGCGACAGAGCAAGATTCTGTCTCAAAAAAAAAAAAAAAAAAGATGAAACCAAGTATACAAGCCCAGAAGCCCAGGGCTAATGGGACTGGAGTGTAAAAGGAAGAATTACTATAAAATGGTGCTAGGGGCCAGGCACGGTGGCTCACGCCTGTAATCCCAGCACTTTGGGAGGCCGAGGCGGGCGGATCACGAGGTCAGGAGATCAAGACCATCCTGGCTAACACGGTGAAATCACGTCTCTACTAAAAACACAAAAAATTAGCTGGGCGTGGTGGCAGGTGACTGTAGTCCCAGCTACTCGGGAGGCTGAGGCAGGAGAATGGTGTGAACCCGGGAAGCAGAGCTTGCAGTGAGCCGAGATTGCACCACTGCACTCCAGCCTGGGCGACAGAGCGAGACTCCGTCTCAAAAAAAAAAAAGAAAAAAAAAGGTGCTAGGTACTGTGACTGTGAAATCGATATCATTATTGGATTTACAGCTGGGGAAAAGCTTTAAAGCTTATACAACTTGGCAAATGAAGGTCACACAGCTAGAAATGGTAGAGCCCAGGTCTAACTCCAAAGTTCTGTGCTAGTTACCTTACAAACTTTGTCTCTAATCTTCCACAATCCCAAAAAGTGTATTATTACATTTTGCAGTTGAGAAGGTTGAGGCTGGGGGTGTTAAGTAAAACACACAAGGTTACACAGCTATGAAGTATCCAAGCCAAGATTGTATCCCAGGTCTGTGGGACTCCGAAGCAAGTGCTACATTCTGCTGCTGGGCAATGCGGGGATTACTGTGTGCCTTGAGCTCCCTAAGAGTTCTCAACACCACTTCTTCCTTTTTGACAGGCTCTGGCTGGGCTTTGACCTTCGCTCCGACCCTGGCCTGCCTGTCCTGTTATTTCTCTCGCCGACGATCCCTGGCCACCGGGCTGGCACTGACAGGCGTGGGCCTCTCCTCCTTCACATTTGCCCCCTTTTTCCAGTGGCTGCTCAGCCACTACGCCTGGAGGGGGTCCCTGCTGCTGGTGTCTGCCCTCTCCCTCCACCTAGTGGCCTGTGGTGCTCTCCTCCGCCCACCCTCCCTGGCTGAGGACCCTGCTGTGGGTGGTCCCAGGGCCCAACTCACCTCTCTCCTCCATCATGGCCCCTTCCTCCGTTACACTGTTGCCCTCACCCTGATCAACACTGGCTACTTCATTCCCTACCTCCACCTGGTGGCCCATCTCCAGGACCTGGATTGGGACCCACTACCTGCTGCCTTCCTACTCTCAGTTGTTGCTATTTCTGACCTCGTGGGGCGTGTGGTCTCCGGATGGCTGGGAGATGCAGTCCCAGGGCCTGTGACACGACTCCTGATGCTCTGGACCACCTTGACTGGGGTGTCACTAGCCCTGTTCCCTGTAGCTCAGGCTCCCACAGCCCTGGTGGCTCTGGCTGTGGCCTACGGCTTCACATCAGGGGCTCTGGCCCCACTGGCCTTCTCCGTGCTGCCTGAACTAATAGGGACTAGAAGGATTTACTGTGGCCTGGGACTGTTGCAGATGATAGAGAGCATCGGGGGGCTGCTGGGGCCTCCTCTCTCAGGTAAGTGGAATGGGGTTCCCAGGGGGTGAGGGCTGCCATGTTGCACAACTAGGGGAGGGTACTATTCTCATTACAGTGTATGTGAATATTGCCCTCTGGTGTAGTACAGTACACAGCCTGCGTGGCCAACCATAGCATCCCTGAAATGGGTCCATGGGGCAAAGAACTTGGGGCTGGGAAAGTCTGAGTGGAAAGACAAAAAGAAGCTAAGTGGAACCCTTGGCAGGGTGCCTACGGCTTGGGTTTGCAGAGGACCTGGCAGAACCTGGCCAGACACAGACGTAGCATTCCAGTGTGCACCCTTTCCTTTGGCCTACTGGGCCCCAAACCAGGTATCTGAGGCACCTGGTCAAAGTTCTGCTGGCTCAGGGTGCCAGAACTTTCAGACCTTTATCTCCTCTTACCCATTAACTGAAGCTTTAGAAAGGCCACAGTTGGTGGGCGCCTGTAGTCCCAGCTACTCAGGAGGCTGAGGCAGGAGAATGGCATGAACCCGGGAGGCGGAGCTTGCAGTGAGCTGAGATCGCGCCACTGCACTTCAGCCTGGGCGACAGAGCGAGACTCCGTCTCAAAAAAAAAAAAAAAAGAAAGGCCACAGTTGCCAGAAAGAAAGGCACAAGTATGCCTGACTCAATCTGGATCTCCAAATCCCTGCAGGCTGGTTTGGAGGTCCTTTCTGAAGGCGGGGAGGTGGTTGAAATTAACTTTTGAGGCCCTTTTGGGAAACCAGAGTTCTTAAGTTTATCCAACTATTCCATGGGAGTTCCAACTCCTCTGAGATGATAAGTCTTCCCTCCACCCAAAAATGTATCTGAGCCCTCAGCCCCAGCAAATAGATCACTCATGTGTATTCTTTTTCTCTCTTGGACCTAGGCTACCTCCGGGATGTGACAGGCAACTACACGGCTTCTTTTGTGGTGGCTGGGGCCTTCCTTCTTTCAGGGAGTGGCATTCTCCTCACCCTGCCCCACTTCTTCTGCTTCTCAACTACTACCTCCGGGCCCCAGGACCTTGTAACAGAAGCACTAGATACTAAAGTTCCCCTACCCAAGGAGGGGCTGGAAGAGGACTGAACTCCACAGAGTCAGGCCCAGAAAGCCAAAGCTTGACAGCTCCAGGTCTTCTCTTGCCACGTCTTGGTCTCCACAGAACCACAGTGCCTTAAGATTCTTGATCTGCCTCCCCCTAGAGCAGGCCTGGGGCTCCTGCAATGTGTGTGCCAACCCTTTGTATTTTGTTGAGGACTCTTATTTCTCCGTTACTCTCCTAACCTTTTCTTCTTTTTTCTTTTTCCCGAGACGGAGTCTTGCTCTGTTGCCCAGGCTGGAGTGCAGTGATGTGATCTCGGCTCACTGCAACCTCCGCTTCCCGGGTTCAAGCGATTCTCCTGCCTCAGCCTCCCAAGTAGCTGGGATTACAGGCGGGAGCCACCACACCCGGCTATTTTTTTTTTTTTTTTTTTGTATTTTTGGTAGAGACAGGGTTTCACCATGTTGGCCAGGATGGTCTCGAACTCCTGACCTTGTGATCCACCCCCCCCCCCCCTCGGCCTTCCAAAGTGCTGGGATTACAGGCGTGAGCCACCACACCCAGCCTCCCCTAACCTTTTCTAAAGGACCCAGGAGTTTTGAAGGATCCGGGAGTTCCTGCTTCACTGAGCTGTGAATCAACTGTGAAAATCAAAGGCCAAGAGACTTATCATGCTTTATATAACATCTCTAGTGTTGCCTCCTGAGTTTCTTCTCTGAAGGCACATGTTTGGGAAACAAAACTGTCCCTTTGAGATAAAATCAAATAAGAAAATTGGATAATAATCACAACCTCAAAATGAGCTGGGGCCCATATGCTTGGGTTGGCCGAATGGAGTCATGCCTGGAAGTGGAGGAGAGTGTCCAGGAGCTCCGATGACCCAAGGCATTTTAACCCTGGAATCTGCTCTCCAGGCTACCACCACATACCTCCCTCTTCCCCATTATCCCTGTGGCTTAGAAAAGAAATTGAGGGCTGGGCATGGTGGCTCACGTCTGTAATCCCAACACTTTGGGAGGCCGAGGCGGGTGGATCACGAGGTCGGGAGTTTGAGACCAGCCTGGCCAAGATGGTGAAACCCCGTCTCTCCTAAAAATACAAAAATTAGCCGGGTGTGTTGGCGTGTGCCTGTAGTTGCAGCTACTGGGAAGGCTGAGGCAGGAGAACTGCTTGAACCCAGGAGGCGGAGGTTGCTGTGAGCCAAGATCGCGCCACTGCACTCCAGCCTGGGCAACAGAGGGAGACTCTGTCTCAAAAAAAAAAAAAAAAAAAAAAAGAAGGAAAGAAAAGAAATTGAGAGAATGCTGAGGACACAGGGTATAGATGTGTGAATAGCTTTGATAGAGCTGAAGTCTGGGCCTAGGATTCTTGTATTTCCCTCAGGCCCATAGAAGGAGATTGAAATGCAGGGAAGAGTTAAGTCTGGGAGGTCTGGGAACTAGGGTAAGGGACATGAAGATGGGGCAGATAGCACCCACTAGCAACCCGCCCCCAACCCCAGCAACACACTGAAACTGGCTGCCAGACAACTTCGCAAAGATTCCCTGTTACGGCCAGGACTTGGGCAAAGAGAAATGGATTGGCTGGACAGTCACCCTTCTTCATACCCAGGGCCTTCTGGGATCCTGTTCCTTTGAACCAGCCTTTCTGGCTGTCTTATGTAGAATATTTTCAGGGTCCTAGATTGGTGAACAGTTGGAGGTTTCAGGAAAACCCGATAAAAATTCTTTATTGGGGGAGGGGCTCAAACAAGAAAATAATCAACAAGTGGTGTCCAGAGTGGAGCCAGGGCCTCCTGGGGACAGCAAGACTGCCTGGGGAGCGGGAAGCAGCTCCCCCGTCTCTGGGGGAGGCGTGGCTGGAGGGGAGGCTGGACCACAGGAGGGCAGCGCCCTGGGCAACCCTATGTAGATGAAGCTGCCGGAGAGGATCAAAGAACCAGACAGGAGGAAAGAGGCGGTGAAGTCTCCTGTCTCATCCCTTAGGAAGCCTGAGGAGATGGGTAAGGGCATTTAGAAGCCTCGAACCCCAGGGGCAGAGGATAGTTGTAGGCAGATCTGTGAGCTCAGGTCCTTACCTGACAGGGGAGGGCCCAGGAGCCCCCCGAGGCTCATCAGCATCATCACCAGCCCTGTGGCCTGCACCACACCTCCGACGCCCACCAGCCCGGGGAGTACACCGAAAACCAGCGGGGCGTAACTCCCCGCGCTCAGCCCATAGGCCACAGCCGCGGCCAGCAGGGGACCCCCCCAGCTCTCTTCGCCGCCCACCACGGGCACCAGCCCCACCACCCACAGCCCCAGCCCAGTCAGAGCCCCGAATACGGCCAGCAGCCGCGGGAGGGGCACCCAGCCTTGGTCTGCCAGCCACCCGCAGACCAGCCGGGCGCCCGCATCCCCCATCGCAGCCACGGCCACCACCAGCGCTGCTCCGTATCCCCCCAGGCCCCGGTCTAAAGCGTGGGGAGCCAAGTGCACGTAAGGAACGAAGTACCCGCCCCCAACCAGGGCTGTGCCTAGAGCAAAGATTGAGAAGGCCCGGCGTGTGAACAGACTCAGGCCGAGGGCAGCTAGGGGACTACGCGGTGGGGCTGGGGGGTCTCCAGGAAGGACCAGGGGTAGCAGCAGGGCGCCACAGGGGGTGAGGTGGAGGGTGATCGCGCCGAGGAGGAGCAGAGCGCCCCGCCAGCCGAAAGTATCGAGAAGAAGCTGCAAGGCGGGCGCCAGGAGCAGCGAGGAGGCCCCGTTGCCGGTGAGCGCCAGCCCCACCGCCAAGACTCGACGGCGGGAGAAGTAACGCGAGAGGGTGCCTAGGGCGGGGGCGAACACCAGGGCCCAACCAAAGCCTGCGAATGAATAGGAGGGGATGGGGGCCGGCACTGGGGACGCCCGCCCCAGCATTCCCAGCCCGGCTCTCCGCACCAGGCCCCCGCCTCGTTCGCTACCCCAGATCCCAACAAGCTCCTGTCACCTCCTTCACCCTGAATGACCCGGGCATCCCACTTCCCTCACCAGCGAGGAGGCCCAGGCCGAGGTAGAGATGCAGCAGATCGCTGGCGAAAGCCGAGAAGACGAAGCCCAGCGAGGCGAGGACGCCCCCAACCATCACCACGGGGCGGGCCCCCCAGCGCGTGCTCAGGGCGCTGCCCACGGGGCCTGAAAGGGGGCGGAGTCAACGGAAGACACGCCCCCGGGCCCCCAAACTCTCTCCAACACTTCTCATTGGCTGTTTGCCTCCCTCGAACTAATGGTTCTTCTCCTTGACCTCAAGATGCACTCTTTTCTAGAGCCGGTTGCCCTTTCTCAGGTTGTCGGGTAATCAGGTGGGTCTCCCATCCCTCCACTCACGGCTCCTCCTCCCCGTTCCTGTCTCCCGCCTCAGGGCCCCCCTCACTGGCTGCCTGCTGCACGGCCAGGGCCAGGGCGCTGATCCACGCAGTGTCCTGGGCGCTTCGGTCAAAGTGCTCGGCAAGGTCAGGGAAGGCAAGGCCCAGCGAGCGCAGCAGCCCGTAGGACAGCCCGTTTATCGCGAAGGCTGCGGCCGCCACCACCCAGCCCCAGCCCCCATCCGGGGGTCCGGCGGGCTGGGGGGTCATCGCCGTCTGCGGGGTGGGGAAACATCTGTGAGAGAAGCCTCCACGCCTGTGCTTCCGCTGGGGAGCTGGCATCCCTGAGATCCAGCCTCTGGCTGCTCGCCCGGGGTGGGCCCGTCACTCCGAGCGCGATGGCGCGGGGCGGAGGGAGCCGGAGCCTGGCCTAGGGCTGGAACTCCCGGGTCCGCGCGAGGTACGGGGACGGGGACAGCCAGATCCCCAGGCCCGAGGTTCCCCGTCCCACGCACACTCCTTCCCCCTTACCCGACCTCTCCGGGCGGTGCGGGGAGGGGAAGGGTGAGGAAGGGCTGGGCCCGGCTTTCTCTCTGCTTCCCAGGCGGGCGGGGGCCCCGAAGGGGAGCGAGGGCAGCGATGGAGCCCAACTTGGACGGGCTCTCTCGGTAAACAGAGATCACCACAGGGGCCTGAGCCACCTGGGACGCGGGGTGTACGGAGGGCGGGGGCGAGCTGAAACAGCCAATCCGGCAAGCCGCGCGTGAGGCCAGACGCCAGTCCCACGGGGATTGAATTATGTACACACACAACCCCCAGGCCCGGGGGAGGGGGGAGCGGCGAGAAATGAATGCAGAGGGGCCCTGCCCTACTCACACGCATGCACCTGCCGCCTGCTGCGCGCAGGGGAGACACGTGGATTGCAAACCCCAGCGAGCCCAGGGTCCACCGCCAACGCGTGGAAATAGGGATGGTCCCCAAAACCTGAGGGGATGAGTAGTTTTGTTCTCAGGAACGTTGCCGAGGACCAGGTAAATCTCGGATATCAATCAGATCACAGACCTCCACCAAGTGCCAGCTCTGTGCTTAGAATAACAGACCCCCAGGCCGGGCGCGGTGCAAGCCTGTAATCCCAGCACTTTGGGAGGCCGATGTGGGTGAATCACCTGACGTCAGGAGTTCGAGGCCAGCCTGACCAACATGGCGAAACACCATATCTACTAAAAATACAAAAAAAATTAGCCGGGTGTGGTGGCGGGCGCCTGTAGTCCCAGCTACTTGGGAGGCTGAGGCGGGGAATCGCTTGAACCCGGGAGGCAGAAGTTGCAGTGAGCCAAGATCATGCCACTGCACTCCAGCCTGGGTGACAGAGAAAGACTCTGTCTCAAAAATAAATAAATAAACAAAAATAAAATAAATAAAATAAAATAACAGGTCCTCAAGGACAGAGGGATGAAACACGACTCCCTCAATGTGAAGACCTGCAGTGTACCAGGCACCGTTTACACATGCTATCACTTCATCTTATGATAACCCTATGAAGAAGGTGTCGCTTTTCTTTTTTTTTTTTTTTAGATGGAGTTTCACTCTGTAGCCCAGGCTGGAGTACAGTGGCGAGATCTCGGCTCATTGCAACCTCTGCCTCCTAAGTTCAAGCCATTCTCCTGCCTCAGCCTCCTGAGTAGCTGGGATTACGGGCGCCTGCCACCACTCCCAGCTAATTTTTGTATTTTTTAGTAGAGATGGGGTTTCGCCATGTTGGCCAGGCTGGTCTGGAACTCCTGACCTCAGATGATCCGCCCACCTCGGCCTCCCAAAGTGCTGGGATTACAGGAGTGAGCCAACGCGCCTGGCCGATGTCGTGCCTCTTTTATAGATGCAGTAACTGAAGCTCTCAGGGAAAAAATGGTATGGATATTTGAATTTAGGTCTGTCCAACTGTGGACCTACAAGGAGAACAATCCCAGGACTGAAACAAAATCTGGCACAGTTAAGGGAAAGATCCTGGATACAGCTTGAAGCAAACTGCCCTGGAAAGGGTGGAACCATTGCAGGGACAGAAAACTTATGAGTCTAAAATAAGGGGTCACTGGGAATAGAAAGGATTCTTGAGATCAGAATCTCTAAACACTTAGGTTAGAATTTTATTTTTTATTATGTATGTATGTATGTATGTATGTATGTATGTATGTATGTATGTGTGTGTGTATTTATTTATAGAGACAGGGTCTTGTCCAGGCTGAAGTGTAGTACTGCCATTATGGCTCACTGCAGCCTCCACCTCCCAGGCTCAAGCAATACTCCACCTCAGCCTCCCGAGTAGCGAGGACTACAGGCTCCACACCACCATGCCTGGCTAAATTTGTTCATTTTTTTTGTAGAGAGGGGGTCACAGCATGTTGCACAGGCTGGTCTCAAGCTCCTGGACTTAAGCAATCCTTCCACCTCGGACTCCCAAAGTGCTGGGATTACAGTCTACCATGCCTGGCCAGGTTACAATTTTAAAAGCAAAGTAAAAAATCAGGTCATTGAAGCCAGGTATTGATTTTTTGAAAAACTTTATAGAAAATGTCCTTTTTTGATAGGTTGACATTCTTTACCTCAGCTCTTTGAATTCAGAGATGTGTTCTTTGGTTTAATTATTAAACAATATGATAGAACATTCAGCAACTTAAGTTTGGAGCATGCATCCATTGAGCCACATGATGGCAGTGTTTCCTAATTATTGGGAAAGAATCTGCACGTAAAGACAAGAAAAACAGCTTCTTAAGGAGCAAAACTGTAAACATAAAAGACACAGCATGACTATAGGCAATGGCTCTCCATTGCCTATAGACGGGAAAAATTACATTTCTCTATTTGTACAGGTCTTTTACAATAATCAAAGGTAGACCTAGGTTACCGTTCCAAACCATCTCCCCTCTCTCCCTTTTGCCAGCCTCCCATCAGCCACTGTCTTCTCTGCTCTGTGGACATGCCTAGCTTTTTCTCACTCCTTAATTTTTGCATATGTCATGCTCTCTGCTTGAAACGTCCTGTTGTTCATGAAGGTCCTGACAGACACACCTTAGGAAAGTGGCCCCACCGGTTTCCCCAGCCTGGAGTGCTGTTATGAAAGCCACCAGGGAGGCGGAGCCAGCAGGTCCTCAGCTACCGGGGAGGGCAGGGATCCCGCTTCCTGAGAAGGCTGCTGAAGACTCTGCTCCAAGCTAAACGAATCACTGTCTCCCCATGGTGACGCAGAAATGCAGGACAGTCAGAGCGAAGACCGGGCCCTCCGCATCTGGGAGTTGTGCTAAGTGATGCTGCGCACCTTCGCAGGATGCTTACGAAGCCAGAAGGGTATCCCAGAGCCTGGGACTAGGGCTGTGAAAGAGCACATTCCTCTTCTACCTCAGGCTCCCTATATTCTTAGCAAAACTTGTCATCTTTTGCTCACGGAGGTAAAATAGCACAGAGATTAGGAGAATGGACTCCCAAGCTAGATTTCTTGAGGTTGAATGCCAGCTCTACTGTAGGGTCTAGCCCTACGGGGCTTGGCGGGTGTTTTCCCCGTGTGCGGAGATGAGAGATTGTAACAAATAAAGACACAAGCCAAAGAGATAGAAGAAAAGACGCTGGGCCCTGGGAACCACTACCATCAAGACGCGGAGACCGGTAGTGGCCCCGAACGGCTGGTTGCGCTGATATTTATTGCATACAAGACAAGGGGGCAGGGTAAGGAGGGTGAATCTTCTAAGTGATTGACAAGGTGCAGCAAGTCACGTGATCACAGGACGGGAGGGCCCTTCCCTTTTAGGTAGCCGAAGTAGAGACAGAAGGCAGCATACGTCAGCGTTTTCTTCTATGCACTGATAAGAAAGATCAAAGACTTTAGACTTTCACTATTTCATCTACCGCTCTGTACTACGAACTTCAAAGAGGAACCAGGAGTACGGGAGGAACATGAAAGTGGACAAGGAGCGTGAGCATTGAAGCACAGCCCCACAGGGAGGGGTTTAGGCCTCCGGATGACTGCGGGGAGGCCTGGATAATATCCAGCCTTCCACAAGAAGCTGCTGGAGCAGAGTGTTCCCTGACTCCTCCAAGGAAAGGACACTCCTTTTCGCGATCTGCTAAGTGATGGGTGTCTTCCCAGGCACTAGCGTTACCGCTTGACCAAGGAGCCCTCAAGCGGCCCTTATGCGAGCGTGACAGAAGGTTCACCTCTTGCCTTCTAGGTCACTTCTCACAATGTCCCTTCATCACCTGACCCTATACCTGCCGGTTATTCGTAGGTTATATTAGTAATGCAACAAAAAGTAATATTAAAAGCTAATGATTAATAATGTCTATAATAATGATTGATAATTGTCCATGATCATCTCTATATCTCATTTGTATTATGACTATTTTTATTCTATTTTCTTTATTACACTGAAACAGTTTGTGCCTTCAGTCTCTTGCCTCGGCATCTACGTAATCTTTCGCCCACACTCTACCACTTAGTAACTATATGATTATGAGCAAGTGTGACTCAACCTCTCTGTGCCTCGGTTTCCTCATCTCTACAATGGGGGTAATAACAGTAGCTACCTGATGGGTTGTTATAAGAATTAAATGAGTCACTGTGAATACACATATAAGTAAGGAACTTAGAACAGTGCCAAAGTATACGTGTTAGAGCTCATTGCCGCTATTTTCTTTCTTTTTTTTTTTTTTTCTTTTTTTTTTGAGACAGAGTCTTGCTCTATTGCCCAGGCTGGAGTGCAGTGGTACAATCTAGGTTCACCACAACCTCTGCCTCCCAGGTTCAAGTGAATTCTCCAGCCTCAGCCTCCCAGGTAGCTGAGATTACAGGTGCCCGCCACCACACTCAGCTAATTTTTTTGTATTTTTATTAGAGACGGGGTTTCACCATATTTGCCAGGCTGGTTTTGATCTCCTGACCTTAAGTAATCCACCTACCTCAGCCTCCCTTAGTGCTGGGATTACAGGTGTGAGCCACCGCGCTCAGCCTCCATTGCCGCTATTGCTGTGAGTTGAGGAACCTGGCTGGACCTAACAGCACGGCAGCCCTTTCCCACCTGGCTACCTCTGCCCATGCCTCAAGGTCAAGGCACCACATTGCCCTGGTAAGTTCTCAGTAGAGCCACATGGGTTAGAAAATGTGAATGGCTATAAAGAGATTCAATGGAAATTTCTGCTTTTCTTCTTTCTTTTCCCTTAGCATTTTCCAAAGTTTGTGTGAAAATGCTGGTCTCCCTGCCTTAACTCTAAAAACAAAAGAGAAGGCCGGGCGCAGTGGCTCACACCTGTAATCCCAACACTTTGGGACGCCAAGGCAGGTGGATTACCTGAGGTCGGGAGTTCAAGACCAGCCTGACCAACATGAAGAAACCCCGTCTCTACTAAAAATCCAAAATTAGCCAGGCGTAGTGGCAGGCGCCTGTAATCCCAGCTACTCGGGAGGCTGAGGCAGGAGAATTGCTTGAACCTGGGAGGCAGAGGTTGCCGTGAGCCGAGATCGCGCCATTGCACTCCAGCCTGGGCAACAAGAGCAAAACTCCATCTCAAAAATAAAAATAAATAAAAAATAATAGAGAAGAAAAAAGTCAAAATAAGTTTTATTCATTCAGTCCTTCATACAAAATATTTATAGACAGCTACCGCGTGCCAGCTGCTATGCTTAGGGTTCGGGATACAAATGTGAATAAGATATAGTCTCTCCCCTCCCAGCCCCACAATCAAATCAGAGGATCATCACATAAAGAAAAGAATTCTCAGCACAAGGACGGGGACACATACACCGTAGAGTGGTGCATGGGAAGAACTGACTCATTCCTCTTAGGACTGCTGGGAGGCTTCACAGAAGAGGAGCCCCTTGGGCTGGGTCTTGAAGGATGAGTAGGAGTTTGCCAGATGGATCTGTGGGCAGGGGCGTTCCAGGCAAAGGAAGCAGCTTGTGGAAAATCACAAAGGCATGAACCAGCTTGGCACATTGTTTATTGTTTGGGGAGCTATAAATAGCCGCTGTGTGGAGAACCGAGCATGTGTAGGAGGATAATGTAGGATTAAGCTGCTGGGCAGAGGGTCCCGTCTGAAAGGCCTTGAAGGCCAGGCTAAGGATATTCCTCCAGAGGCTGATACTACTCCAAAATGTCCAATGAAGTAGCACTCACTAATACTCACTAATAATGGAAGCTGAATACAGAGGAGAGATGAGTCATGCCACAATCAGAGGCGCAAGGAGAGTTCGCCTTTTGCATGTGGGAAATTTCTTTGAAATATCTTGTTTTATGTTAAAAATTCATGCAGAATTTTTCATTCTACTTTTTTTGTTTGTTTGTTTGTTTTTGTTTTGTTTTGTTTTGTTTTTGAGACCGAGTCTCTCTCTGTTGCCCAGGCTGGAGTGCAGTGGCACAATCTCGGCTCACTGCAAGCTCGGCCTCCCGGGTTCAGGCCATTCTCCTGCCTCAGCCTCCCGAGTAGCTGGGACTACAGGCACCCACCACCACGCCCGGCTAATTTTTTGTATTTTTAGTAGAGACGGGGTTTCACTGTGTTAGCCAGGATGGTCTCGATCTCCTAACCTCGTGATCTGCCCGCCTCGGCCTCCCAAAGTGCTGGGATTACAGGCGTGAGCCACTGTGCCCAGCCCGATTTCTGGAATTCTCACACACAAAGATGCCAAAGGTGAGTGATGAATCACTGAATGAGAGAAACATTGAACAAAGGAGTCATTGAATGAGTGGACTCCGTGCCTGGTGCTCCACAGAATGCAGCAGTGGTACAGGAAAGAGTCGCAGATGGACCAAACCACGAAGGCCTGCCCATGTGGGGACAGCCCTCAAAGCAGATGCTGAGCTAGATGAAGTCTATAGGGAGATCGTAAAAGAGTGTCAAGCATGGCACATCATTTGCTTTGGGGACCACAGGATCTGGGAATGCGTCCATGTTTGCAAACTCTAAAACTGCTCTGGGGCTTTTTCATGGGAACTCCTGCCGGAGGTTCTCGGGGCCTCTGGAGTCTGCAGCCTCAGGGAAGCCCTGAACTAAGCCCCTCTATTTCCCAGCACCCCCACCAAGGGGCTCCCGCTGCAGAAGGTGGACAGGGAGGGAGGCGGGCAGGCAAGAGTGAGTGGCGTTACCCACAGGAAACATTCCTCTATTTGGGGTGCTCAGAAATATGAGGCTCTACACTGCTTGGCTCAGCTGATCTTGGGTTGTTTTTTGAGACTGATTTTCACTCTTGTTGCCCAGGCTGGAATGCAATGGCATGATCTCGGCTCACCACAATCTCAGCCTCCCGGGTTCAAGCGATTCTCCTGCCTCAGCCTCCCAAGTAGCTGGGATTACAGGCATGTGCCACCACGCCTGACTAATTTTGTATTTTTAGTAGAGATGGGGTTTCTCCATGTTGGTCAGGCTGGTCTCGAACTCCCAACCTCCAGTGATCCGCCTGCCTCAGCCTCCCAAATTGCTGGGATTACAGGCATGAGCCACTGCGCCTGGCCTGGGTTTCTAAGACCTAATAGAGCTGCCTCTCACCCCTCACCCCCCAGAATGCCCTCTTCCCTGGATCACCCAGAGACCAGGCCGTGGAAAGTCAGCGTAGATCTAAAGCCCACACCAGGGCCTGGAAAAGTGGGAGAAGCACACGACCTGCAGAGGGGATAAGGACACAAAGGTCAGGGTTTGTGGCTCAGGGCCAGGTAGCACGTCGCTGAGATGCTCTGAAATGGGGAGTGGGTCATTGAAGCAGGAGGCCAGGGGCTCCTTGTGTATCGGGAACAAGTCTGCTTGGACGACCATATCAACTGGAAGAAGGGAGATGGAGCCGAGTCTCCTGAGCCTTCCTTGTGTGGGGACTGAGACTGCGGTAGGACTTTGCTGAGTCTGAGGCTGTGGGGAAGCTGGTAATAGGGTTGAGGGGGCACAGATGAGACAGAGCTAAGGCTGGAGCTGGATTGGAGCCAAGGCCTTGGATGGGCTGGGAATCCTACCTCACATTACTCTTCTTTCTTTCTCTTTCTTTCTTTCTTTCTTTTTTTGAGACAGAGTCTCACTCTGTCACCCAGGTTGGAGTGCAGTGGCATGATCTCGGCTCACTGCAACCTCCACCTCCCAGGTTCAAGCAATTCTCCTGCCTCAGCCTCCCAAGTAGCTGGGATTATAAGAGCTCACCACCACGTCCGGCTAATTTTTGTGTTTACATTACTCCTTTCTTATACCCTCTACCAAATCTGTCTCCAGTGCCTTTTCCAATCCAGGCCTCATCCCTTCCCTCTGTCGTCACCATCCCCTTCCCACCCTATTACATGTTGGGGGTCTGGAGGACCTGATTCCTGGGTCTCTCTGGACAGCCCAGAATCCAGGACAGGGGATCAGGGACAGTAGGGGAAAGTGCCCAGCTAAAGGCTCTGCACCTGGTCTGTGTCTAAATCTCCAAACGTGTTTTATTTTGTTTTGTTTTGTTTTTTTGAGACGGAGTCTCGCTCTGTTGCCCAGGCTGGAGTGCAATGGTGTGATCTTGGCTCACTGCAACCTCTGCCTCCCGGGTTCAAGTGATTCTCCTTCCTCAGCCTCCCAAGTAGCTGGGATTACAGGTGCCCGCCACCATGCCTGGCTAATTTTTGTATTTTTAGTAGAGATGGGGTTTCACCATGTTGGCCAGGCTGGTCTCAAACTCCTGACCTCAGGTGGTCCGCCCACCTCAGCCTCCCAAAGTGTTAGGATTACAGGCGTGAGCCACCGTGCCCAGCCTAAATGTGTCTTACCTGGCATATTCTATTAACAGTCTGGGACTTTGGCCAACATCTGTATCAAAGTTGTGAGTCGTAAGCCATGGGCACTAACTCTGACTTATTTAAGGAAAGAAATGATTTATTACAGGATACTGCGTAGTTCACAAAATCACCAAGAAACCTACAGAGCCAAGATTGGCAGAAGCAGAGGCCACGAGCCTATAATGGGTTGCTAAAGCCGCTGTTATCACCACAGGACACTAGATGTCGCTGCTGGCAGCCCTCTGTGACCACTGGGCCTGGAAACAGCTGCTGCTCCTCGGACGTGTTCTCTGCTTCTGGGCCCTCAAATCTAAGTCCAGTGATCCTGACCACCGGAACCTAGGCCACGTGCTTTCATCCTAGCTGGAAGGGGTGGCAGGAAGAGTGAGAACCTAGTGCTTTCAGTGTCTATAGACAGATGGGTTCTGCCTCCCTTCAAAAATAATAAGGTGGGCCTGGGCACGCGGTGGCTCACGCCTGTAATCCCAGCACTTTGGGAGGCCGAGGCAGGTGGATCACCTGAGGTCAGGAGTTTGAGACCAGCCTGGCCAATATCGCAAAACCCCACCTCTACTAAAAGTACAAAAATTATCCAAATGTGGTGGCACGCATCTGTAATCCCAGCTACTTGGGAGGCTGAGGTGGGAGAATCGCTTGAACCAGGGAGGCAGAGGTTGCAGTGAGCTGAGATCGCGCCACTGCATTCCAGCCTGGATGATGGGGTGAGACTCCATCTCAAAAAAAAAACTAATAATAATAAGGTGGAAATTTTCTTAAAGGCTTCAGATGCAAGAAGGCCAAAAATATCCTAAAACTGTGTAAGCCCAACTAAAATGGATTATTAGAATAGGAATGAGAATCCAATCGGACCTGGTGATTTTTTTTTTTTTTTTTTTTTTTTTTTGAGATGGAGTCTCCTCTGTCGCCCAGGCTGGAGTGCAGTGGCACGATCTCGGCTTACCACAACCTCCGCCTCCCGGGTTCCAGCGATTCTCCTGCCTCAGCCTCCTGAGTAGCTGCGACTACAGGCACCCGCCACCATGCCCGGCTAATTTTTGTATTTTTAGTAGAGACGGGGTTTCACCATATTGGCCAGGCTGGTCTCGAACTCCTGACCTCGTGATCCACCCACCTCGGCCTCCCAAAGTGCTGGGATTACAGGCATGAGCCACTGTGCCCAGCCAGACCTGGTGAGTTATTAAAAGCACAGTCCCTGAGTTCCGACTCCCACCATTTCCAGGCATCTATAAAAAGGGGGCAATGCTTCAAAGGATTGTTGGTGAGACTTCAGTGAAGTAAAGCTTGGGAAGGACCCAGCACAACTCCAGGCACAGGGCAGGCGTCCTACAAATGTAGGTTCCCATCCATTTCATTCCATCCCATTTTCTAGCCACCGGTAGCCACCCTTTCATCTCTACGCCAGTCCAATTCTACTCCAAGTCACTATGCCCCTCCTGTCTGGATTTGTGAGGGGCAGTCAGACCAGAAGGGGCCAGAAGGTGATATTTGTCATCTCCCTGCTGCTATACCAACCTCTCAGCTACCTGAGTTTTTTGGGTCCCTTTGTCTGCCTTCCCAGCCTCAGCCTGAGACCTGGGCATCTGACTTGAAGGATGCAGGCTCTTAGTGGACATGGTAACCCACATCAGCCCTTAGGGCTGCAGCAGCCCTGCCTGGCCAGAGTCTCTACCTCCCCAAGGAATATCAACCAGGACCAGAAGCCAAGGCAGGAGGGGACAGGAGGTCAGATAACAGGTTTTCTGCAGGGATGTAAATTACACATCTTGGAGGATCTGACATATGCAAGGCAGAGTTTTGGGGGCCCAGTAAGCAAATGGTGCCTGTTTTCTTGCCCCAAGGCAGAAATGCCTTTGTGAACACTGGGAGGAGTCGCGTGGGGGCTAAGCCCTGAGAAAGTCCCAAAGTCATAGAAGGGCCCAGACGCTGAAGAGGCTGCAACTGGCTGCAGTGGATGCCACACAAGCCTCTTCCTGTCCTTGTGCAGGTGGATCTTGTCCCTCCCAGTGCGTTCCTTTCTGTACCTCTTGTTGGCCATGAATCTCCTTTGCCCCTGCCCACATCTCCATGCCATTTCCTCTGCAAAGCTTTCTCCTGCCTCTCCCCTACTGTCAAAACGTTTTAAATGCTGGGCAGCATCTCTTCTTTAGGGTTCCTTCCCTCTATCCCATTCAAAGAGCCATACCCAGCTTTAGCTACCTCCATCTCAAGCTTTCATCCTATCTTTCTCTCCTCCATTCACAATCAGGAGTCCCTTGCAATGAGACCGATTCTGGTTTAAAACACATTTGTGAGGGACGGGTGTCATGGTCTCACCTGGAGGGAAATCACACCTGCACAGGCCTACAGAGAGGTGAGGCGGGGCCTCGGGCATCTCATCAACTGGGTACGTAGAAAGAGGACTCTGATTTTTTTTTTTTTAGATGGAGTCTCATTCTGTCACCCAGGCTGGAGTGCAGTGGCGCAATCTCTGCTCACTGCAACCTCCGCCTCCCAGGTTCAAGCAATTCGCCTGCCTCAGCCTCCCGAGTAGCTGGGATTACAGGCACATGCCGCCATGCCCGGCTAATTTTTTGTATTTTAGTAGAGACAGGGATTCACCGTGTTACCCAGGCTGGTGGTGAACTCCCAAGCTCAGGTAATCCACCTGCCTCGGCCTCCCAAAGTGCTGGGATTACAGGCTTAAGCCACCATGCCCGGCCGAGCACCCTGATTTATGGGTAATCAGCTTCCCCTTCCCTGGGCCCAGGGATCTGGGAGATAGGAAGTTGATGCCACCGCCCCAAGAGCTGATGTTTCAGGACTGTGGCCAGTGAGTGCTGAACACAGTGAGCAGCAGAGTGGGCTGACACCTGAGCTCCAGGACTCATAAAGCCCCGCTGTTCTTGCATGGCATGTGGTTTCTGGGTTTATTTCCCTGTTGTCCTTGAGGAGAGTATATTTATTCCCTAAGTATGCAGGGCTTAGGGCTAAAAGCATTCCCCATGCTTACAGAAATGCTAGGGATATGAAAAAGTGTACCGATTTCCAAATACAAAAGGCAAACTTAAAAATCTAAAGTAATGAATATTAAAGCGTTTTTAAAAATGTCTACAAAACATAATATTAGTCCATTTCTTTGTTAAATTTCATGTTCCTAAATTTTCATTACATTGGAAAACAATTTGAAGCTTTTTTTCACTTTGCAGGATTTCCTAAATGTTTATCGTGATTGCTGAGAAATCAGAGCCAATCATAGATTCACTGAGTTTCTTATAGACAAACAATCCTTTAAAAGAATAAACGTCCTTTTAAGATTTTAAACGGCAAAAAATCTTAGAAATCTTTTAAATTTTTGGGCCGGGCACGGTGGCTCACGCTTGTAATCCCAGCACTTTGGGAGGCCGAGGTGGGCGGATCACGAGGTCAGGAGATCGAGACCATCCTGGCTAACAGGGTGAAACCCCATCTCCACTAAAAACACAAAAAAATTAGCCGGGTGTAGTGGCGGGCACCTGTAGTCCCAGCTACTCGGGAGGATGAGGCAGGAGAACGGAGTGAACCCAGGAGGCGGAGCTTGCAGTGAGCAGGGATCGCACCACTGCACTCCAGCCTGGGCGACAGAACAAGACTCCGTCTCAAAAAAAAAAAAAAGAAATCTTTTAAATTTTTAATTGTAAAAATATATTTAGTGTGGAATGTGAGTGTATTTTAGTATATGTTATTAAGAGGCAACATAACATGGTGGGACAAACACGAACCCTGGAACCAGATTGTCTGGGTTCAAGCCCTGGCTTTGGTACTTACTGGCTATATAACCTAGAGCAAGTTATTCAACCTCTCTTTGCAATAGTTCCCTCATCCCCAAAGCAAATTATAATAGTTCCTACTTTTGAGGAAAAAAAAGATGGTAATTGCTATGATCTTAATGTTTGTGCCTCTCCCCGTCAAATTCATATGTTGAAATCTAATCCCAGGCCGGGTCCGGTGGCTCACGCCTGTAATCCCAACACTTTGGGAGGCCGAGGTGGGCGGATCACCTGAGATCAGGAGTTCGAGATCAGCCTGACCAACATGGAGATACTCTGTCTCTACTAAAAATACAAAAAAATTAGCCGGGCACGGTGGCACATGCCTGTAATCCCAGCTACTCGGGAGGCTGAGGCAGGAGAATTGCTTAAACCTGGGAGGCGGAGGTTGTGGTGAGCCGAGATCATGCCATTGCACTCCAGCCTGGGCAACAAGAGCGAAACTCCATCTCAAAAAAAAAAAAAAAAAATCTAGTCCCCAATGCGAAGTATTAAGAGGTGGGTCCTTTAGGAGGTGACTGAGGCCTTCATGAGGATGAAGACCTTGTGAATGAGATTGAGTGCCCTTATGAAAGAGGCCTGAGGCAGCCTGTCCACTCCTTCTGCCCTGTGAGGACACAGCTAGAAGGTGCCATCTATGAGAGCAAGCCCTTACCAAACACCAAATCTTCTGGCTTCCCAGCTTCCAGAAATGTGAGCAATAAATTTCTGTGGTTTTTGTTTGTTTTTCAGAGATGCGTCTCACTTTGTTGCCCAGACTGCTCCTGGCCTCAAGCAGTTCTCTCACCGCAGCCTCCAGAGCTGCTGGGATTACAAGCATAAGCCACCACACCTGGCTCAAATTTCTGTTGCTTATAAATTAATAGTTTAAGGTATCTTGTTATAGCAGCCCGAATGAGTTAAGACAATAATGATAGTACCTTGTTACTATTAGCACGACTTCTTAGGAATGTTGAAAGGATTAAAGGAGTTAATATTTGTACAGTTTTTTTTTTTTTTTTGAGACGGAGTCTCGCTCTGTCGCCCAGGCTGAAGTGCAGCGGCGCGATCTCGGCTCACTGCAAGCTCCGCCTCCCGGGTTCACGCCATTCTCCTGCCTCAGCCTCCCGGAGTAGCTGGGACTACAGGTGCCCGCTACCACGCCCGGCTAATTTTTTGTATTTTTAGTAGAGACGGGGTTTCACCGTGTTAGCCAGGATGGTCTCGATCTCCTGACCTCGTGATCCGCCCGCCTCGGCCTCCCAAAGTGCTGGGATTACAGGCGTGAGCCACCGCGCCCGGCCTATTTGTACAGTTTTTGGAACAATTCCTAGCAAGAAGTAAGGGCTATTTAAGGGTATGTTTTTTTGTTTTTTGTTTTTTTTTTGAGACAGGGTCTCACTCTGTCACCCAGGCTGGAGTGCAGTGGTGCCATCTTGCCTCACTGCAACCTCTGCCTCCCAGATTCAAGCAATTCTCCTGCCTCAACCTCCCAAGTAGCTGGGATTACAGGTGCCCGCCACTACCGCCCAGCTAATTTTTGTGTTTTTCATACAGACGGGGTTTCATCATCTTGGCCAGGCTGGTCTCAAACTCCTGACCTTGTGATCCACCAGCCTCGGTCTCCCAAAGTGCTGGCAAACTCCTGACCTCGTGAGCCACTACACCCGGCCACTTTTACATTTTTTTATACAGATGGGGGTCTCACTTTTTTCCCCAGGCTGGTGTCAAACTTCTGGCCTCAAGCAATCCTCTCACCTCGGCCTCCCAAGGTGCTGGGATTACAGGTGTGAGCCGCTATGCCTGGTGGAGCGTCTTTTATAAGGTCATAATCCCATTCATGAGTCCCCCATTCTCATGACCTCGTCGCCTCCCAAAGGCTCCACCTCCAAATACCATCACATTAGGCTTTAGGAGTTAACATATACATTTGGGGGACAGGGAAACACAGACACATTCAGTCTTTGGCATCCCACATATCAATAAAACTAGAGCTAGGAATGCTCCAAAATTAGCTTATCAGTGTCTCAATAACATCATCAAAGACTAAGGTTCTTCCCACATTTTCAGTCTATCCCCTCAGTGTTTTAGCTTTTTCCTCGTAAGGTTGCAACGTGGTTACTGCAGTTTCAGATATGGCATCTAGGCATAACCAAGTGCAGAGGAAAATGAGCACGTCTCTTCCAGTGTGTGCCCCTTAGCACCAAGGATCTTTTATCCTACAGCCCCCAGCAGACAGCCCCTCGGCCATTGACAGAATTATGCCGTATGTCTATGATTAAACCAGCCACTGACAAGGGGGAAGGTTCCACCATGATTGACTTACTTTCATCAGGTCCTGCCTCTAGGACTAGGCTGGAGCCACCCTCACCTGAAGGTTATACTGTACCTACATTGCTGTTGTAGAATAACATAAATTCCTAAACACCAGTTGGGGTCAGTTAAGAGAGGACAAAGCTATAGTCAATGTTGCATAGAAAACCAAGAGTGGTTTGTTTTGTTTTGGTTTGTTTTAGACAGAGTCTCGCTCTTGTTGCTGAGGCTGGAGTGCAATGGTGCGATCTCTGCTCACTGCAACCTCCGCCTCCCGAGTTCAACCAATCCTCCTGCCTCAGCCTCCCGAGTAGCTGGGATTACAGGCACCCGCCACCACGCCCAACTCATTTTTTGTATTTTTAGTAGAGATAGGGTTTCACAATGGCCAGGCTTGTTGCGAACTCCTGACCTCAGGTGATCCACCCTCCTCGGCCTCCCAAAGTGCTGGGATTACAGGCGTGAGCCACCGCGCCCGGCCCAAGAGTGTTGACTAAACCATCTAGAACTCCCTGTTGGTGCCTGAAGGGGACTATTCTTGGGAATCTGGTGAGGTTTTTTTGTTTATTACTAGTAATGTGATTTGTTCTGATTTTTACCAGCAATTCCTCCCTCCCCCACTAAACATACACTGCCCAAGGGGCAAGAAGAAACACCTACACTGTGTGTGAAGAACCTGGCATTCTGTCATATCTGGCATGGGCATCAATGGTCCATAGGCATCAATGTAGCAGCAATGAATGAATGTGTATCTCTCTTCCCCAGCCTAGATGACTACAGCTCAATTCTAACTGGTCTTCCTGCACAATGTGGATTCCACAATGTTGATAGAACCAGCTTCTAGGTTCAGGAAGGAAACCAGGCTGATTCTCAGGCAGGAGGAGGCAGAGTACGTATGACTCAATCCCTCTTTGCCTTTAATGAAAGTGACGGAGAAGATTTTCCGCTTAAGAAGGAGGATACCCTGAGAATTTATAAAAGCCTGAAGAGCAGTCGTGGAACACAGAGGACAGCAAAGGCAAGAGAGGGGTGATTCCAGTTCCTTACGTCGAGAAGTAGAGACCTGCCTCTACCTCAGTATTTGCTCTGATTGGATGTTGTGAACTGGTAAAGATTTCTGGATTAATGTGAGTGGTCAGAGGGCAGGGGAGCATAATGGCAAATGAGGTCACTTCCTATTCACTCATGTCCCTCTGATAGAGGGACAGAACCCAAATGTAGCTCAACAGTTTTGCTGATGTATGGGAACAATTCCTTTCAGTTTTTTTGCAACTGCCATCTAAACAGTTTTTCTACAGACGTCCAAGGCAGTCTCATCTCATTCTGTTCCTTGTGAGCTTCTGGAACAGAATTACTCCATTCCTAGTCTCAGTTCATCATGGTCAAGGTATAAAACTGGAGAGCTGGCCAGGCATGGTGGCTCACGCCTGTAATCCCAGCACTTTGGGAGGCCAAGGTGGGCAGATCATGAGGTCAGGAGATCAAGACCATCCTGGCTAACACGGTGAAACTCCGTCTCTACTAAAAATACAAAAAGTAGCCAGCCATGGTGGCGGGCACCTGTAGTCCCAGCTACTCGGGAGGCTGAGGCAGGAGAATGGCCTGAACCTGGGAGGCAGAGCTTGCAGTGAGCCGAGACCGTGCCACTGCACTCCAGCCTGGGGGACAGAGCAAGATGCCGTCTCCAAAAAAAAAAAAAAAAACAAAAAAAAAACACTGTAGAGTTTATGTGTTAACTTCTTTATTTTATTTTATTTTATTTTTGAGATGGAGTTTTGCTCTTATCACCCAGGCTGGAATGCAGTGGCACAATCTTGGCTCACTGCAACCTCTGCCTCCCACATTCAATCGATTCTCCTGCCTTAGCCTCCAGAGTAGTTGGGATTACAGGTGCCTGCCACCACGCCAGGCTAATTTTTTTTTATACTTATAAGTAGAGACGGAGTTCCACCATGTTGGCCAGGCTGGTCTCGAACTCTTGACCTCAGGTGATGCACCCGCCTCAGCCTCTCAAAGTGCTGGGATTACAGACGTGAGCCACCGTGCCCGGCCATGTGTGTTAACTTCTGAATGGGCTGATTTTAGGTGGTAGTAGCTATGCCTGAGTGTATAGAAGGTATAAATATCTTGCTCTGTCATTCTTAGATGGTGCAAATCAACCTGTGGAAAACTGATAGAAGCGGTGCCAACTGCTCATTCTGATTTATTTAATGGGTTTCTTTTCTCATTCTGAAACCATTCTATCAAATGGCAATAGACTGTTCCTGTAGACCCCCATGAAGTAATCATGTACCACACGAATAATACACAATGAGATTGCTTTTTCACTTATAAAACATGACCAGTTATGACTCATTCTGACATTTCAAAGCCTAAGAATCCCAGGGGCACTACTAGAAGCATTTGTCTACCTTTCTAGCATGATTCATATATTTGCTTCAGATTGTGTTAACCCTTGCCATTCTTTTTTTCCCAAACCTGGAAGTAGGTTAACTGTAAGATAAGTGTATCTTCTCATTCCAGATGAGAGGCAGGATGTGCAGGTCACTTTACTCAGTGCCTGGCATTAAGCCAGTGGTGGACCCACTATGTGGACAGCTAAACTCCCAGCTTTCTGCCTTCCGCCAAGGGTCACACCGCATTCACCTTGTTACAGCCGCTAAACAGACTTGACTCAGCTTTCCCTTCAGAGTCATGAGACAGCTGCCACTGTTCCAAATCTCCTGCCCTCACAAGGAAACACCCACGACAGGAAGGTAACAAGCACAGCTCCTCTTTTACAGCCTTTTTTTTTTTTTTTTTTTTTTGAGAAGGAGTCTCGCTCTGTCATACAGGCTGGAGTGCAATGGCATGAACTCAGCTCACTGGCAAACTCCACCTCCTGGGTTCAAGTGATTCTCCTGCCTCAGCCTCCCGAGTAGCCGAGATTACAGGTGCCTGCTAATTTTTGTATTTTTAGTACAAAAATTAATTAGCCCGCTAACCTACGACTGGCTAATTTTTGTATTTTAGTAGAGACGGGGTTTCACCATGTTAGCCAGGCGGTCTCGAACTCCTGACCTTAAGCGATCCACCTGCCTCGGCCTCCCAAAGTGCTGGGATTACAGGTGTGAGTCACCATGCCTGGCCAATGGCTTTCTTACCTTGTGTGTCTGTGTCTCTTCTTGTAAGGACACCAGCCATATTGGATTAAGGGTATACCCTACTCCAACATGACCTCATCTTAATTTATTACGTCTGCAACGACCCTATTTCCTATTTCCAAGTAAGACCAACTTCTGAGATACTGGGGGTTAGAACTTCAACCTGTCTTTTGTGTGAGACGCCTTTGTATAATGAATAGTCTCTGCATTACCTAAATCCAAAGATTTTCTGTAGTTTATGACCCAAAATTCCTTTTTTTTTTTTTTTTTTTTTTTTTTTTTTTTGAGACAGAGTCTCGCTCTGTCGCCCAGGCTGGAGTGCAGTGGTGCGATCTCGGCTCACTGCCACCTCCACCTCCAGGTTCAAGTGATTCTCCTGCCTCAGCCTCCTGAGTAGCTGGGATTACAGGTGCCCACCACCACGCTCAGCTAATTTTTGTATTTTTAGTAGAGACGGGGTTTCACTGTGTTGGCCAGGCTGGTCTCCAACTCCTGACCTCAAGTGATCCGCCCGCCTCGGCCTCCCAAATTGCTGGGATTACAGGCGTGAGCCATGCACCTGGCTCCAAAAGTCCTTCTGATATAGAACTCTACTATTATAGGAGTTCAAACCAGTCCAGCCGAACAAGCACCACACATGTCTTCCACAGTCTCATCCCCTCCTTACCTAAAACTCCTTATCTCTAGGAGCAACCTAGAAAATTTTTATGATCACCAAAGAGCAGTTTTATCTCCTTCTAACCAAAGTCCTTTTTCAGAAGAGGGTCTTGTATAACTTTGAATAACAAAGGGTGTGTTTGCACAATTCAAGAGCCAGCATGAGAAGTTTCCTAAAATTGAAGAACAGTCTTCTTTCAAAAAGCATTCTTGCCACCTGCCTGGACAACATAGCAAGACCCCATCTCTACAAAAAATTTTTTTAATTAGCTGGGCATGCTGGTAGACACTTGTGACCCTTGCTACTTGGGAGGCTGAGGCAGGAGGATCCCTTGAACCCAGGAGTTGAAGACCGCAGTGAGCTGTGACAGTGCCACTGCACTCCAGCCTCGGTGACAGAGTGAGAGCCTGTCTCAACGGGAAAAAAAAAAAAGTGTTCTTGCCAGACAGAGGAACATTCAGGGTGGTGGTAGTTGTTTTAATATGTGAAAATGTAGCTTTTAAACATCACTATTTTGGCCAGGCATGGTAGTTCACACCTATAATCCCAGCACTTTGGGAGGCCGAGGCGGGCGGATCACTTGCAGTCAGGAGTTGGAGACCAGCCTGGCCAACATGGTGAAACCCCGTCTCTACTAAAAATACAAAAATTAGCCAGGCGTGATGGTGGACGCCTATAATCTCGGCTACTCCGGAGGCTGAGGCAGGAGAATCACTTGGACCCAGGAGGCGGCGGTTGCAGTGAGCTGAGATCGCGCCACTGCACGCCACAGCCTGGGCGACGGAGCCACACTCCATCTCAAAAAAATAAAATATACTCGGGAGGCTAAAGCAGGAGAATCGCTTGAACCCGGGAGGCGGAGGTTGGGGTGAACCGAGATCGTGCCATTGCACTCCAGCCTGGGCAACAAGAGCAAAACTCCGTCTCAAAAAATATAAAAATAAAAATAAAATAACACTGTTTTGTTGCATCAGCTGTGCCCGATCAGCTGAGCTTCTTCCCAGTCCCTGCCCCACTTTGAGTATGCTTAATGTATGGAGCCTGTCACCAACTGAATGCCCTAATTTAACGTAATCCCACTCCAAGCATTCCAGCTTCTCAGAGCTGTGACAACCTCCCCTTTCTGCCCCTCCCTGGTGCCTGCAACCTGCCCCACATCATCCTCTCCCAATCAGGCTGAATTGTTTGATTTTGTTTTCACTGTGGGGGTGACCGTTATAGCATGATCTTATTCATTTATCTGATGGCTTTTAATTTAAATCATACAATGTATGCAGGTAGAAAAATCCAAGCAGTGCAGAAAGACATTAAATGAAAGGCCTACAGTAGATAATATTTGGAGCAGCCAATGAAGTCTCTTTGTCACCATCATCAAACCCCTGTGTAAGCATTATCCTGCCCCACCACTCAGGCCTCAGTGACAGCTCTCCTTAGTCACAGCCCTAAATTGGGGGTGGGTATGAACAATAGACAATATAAGTCAGCTGCATTTCTGAATGGATTTTCAAACCTCTAACAAAAGCGAACTCCTGAAAGCCAAAAGGTGATTCTAGATGGCAAGAGTCAGGCCACAGAGGAGAGAAAAGATTTTTTGAATTTCAAAGGTTTGACTTTCAACACCAACAGCCAACGTTTCCAGGATGCAGATCATAGAGGTGACTGCCTAAAGCTGAGTCCAGAAATAAGAAATAAGACAATAATCCAATGCTAGCCTCACTGCATTGCAGAATGAGATACAGTTCCACTGGGGAAAGAGACAGGAGGATCAGAAAGTGAGTCATCGGTGTGGTTCATTGTAAAAGGGATCAGAGCTCTGTCCACTGATAGGGTCGAACTTCTGGGAACAAGGATGATTGAATGTGCATGGGGTTGGGGTTGAACAGAGCAGAAGGGGTTGTGCTTTGCTTCTCAGGTGAAGGGCAGGCAAAAGACATCAGGGAGACGCCCTTGCAGCAGCAGGCACCAGTGACAGAAGGCAGGGATGACAGCTGGTGTGTGGGCAAAGGGAGCCGAAGAAAAACTCTGAATCTCCCATCACCCCAAAGAGCAGCAAGAGAGTTATCTAAAGATTCCTGCATCCTCAGAGGTTTGTGTAAGAGGTAAGGTTGAGCCAGCAGACACACAGGCATGGTACATGCGGCAGGGGGGATGCAGGGTGACCTGTGTGACCAGGAGCCTGCAGAACAGAAAGAAGTGTGGACAGCTCAGGGGAGGAAGAGAGAGAAGGAGAAGCAGACACCTGCAAGGAGAAGGCCCCACTCCAAAGAGATACATCATCCCCAAGAAAAACAGGGCGAAGAGGGAAAGGAGAGAATCCAGAATTGACCGAGGCCAAAAAGGACAGAAAATCTAGCAGTGACTGGTGATTCAGAGTCGGCCAGGTGGTTTTCTGCTGTTAGCGATAATGTGTGCACCAGAGCACTGCCAGGGTCTGGCAGAGAGAACTAAGTAAAATTCCCGTGTGAGCCCTGGGGTTGTGGAATACCATGTCTGCTCCTTGGCAACCTCCTTCCCTCCACCCACCTCCCAGCACCAGGAGCTGAGATTACATCAGTGGAAGAGCAGCTGTGGTTCCCCCTCCTGGGGCTCTGTCCATGAGGTAGGGCAGACATCTGGACTAGCGATGGCCAGGGGATGGGAGCACAGAGGAAGAAGCCCAGAGTTACAGAGGGACTTAGAACCACAGGAAGTTCCTTTTTCTACAGGGAATGGGGCAGCCTACCCTGAAAGAAGTCATTTTGTTCTGTTTTGTTTGAGACAGCGTCTCACTCTGTTATCCAGGCTGGAGTGCAGTGGTGTGATCTCAGCTCACCGCAATCTCCGCCTCCCAGATTCAAGCGATTCTTCTGCCTCAGCCTCCCGAGTAGCTGGGACTACAGGCATGCGCCACCACGCTTGGCTAATTTTTGTATTTTTAGTAGAGACAGGGTCTCACCATGTTGGCCAGGCTGGTCTCAAACTCCTGACCTCGTGATCCACCCGCCTCGGCCTCCCAAAGTGCTGGGATTACAGGCATGAGCCACCGCGCCTGGCCGAATTTGACTTTTCTAGATTCCACATATAAGTAAGATCATGGCTCATTTGAAGGATGAGTAGATTCTAAACCAGGGGAAGATGGGGACTACCAAGGTGATCGTGAAGGTCAGTGGAGCAGCATCCGGGTCAGGGACAGAGGAGTGAACTCGGACCGTGAAGGCAAAGCTGAGCAGAGTGCCAGCCACAGGCGGATGGTGCAGTCACCTGAAATGTGTCCCATCATCTGAGTCGTCCCTCATTCCCAAGCTCCCACATATTCACAGAGGCCCATCCTGACATATATGCTGCCTTTGAAGGTCTGGACAAATACCTGAGACACACATGGGTGGTGTTGACTTCTCTCCACCCCAGATGTAGGTGCTCCTAGGCTGGGGATCTCATCAGCTCTTCCTGGAGTGGACGGCAACCAGGTGGGGGTTCTCCAGCTGGTGGAGTGTTCTCAGCCTCGGGCCAAAATGCCTAAAAGCAGGATGGCCGGTGGCAGCTGTCTTTGGGCTCTAACCAGCTCCCAGGGCAGAAGGTTCCCATGGAGCCTGATGGATAGAGGCCAGGTTCCCGTGGGGGAGGGCAACATGGCAGGATGAAGGCTGGGCATGGAGCCCTCCTCACTGAGGCTCTCAAGGGCAGCCATGTTACAGATCAGGTCATTGCAGGTCAGTCACCAGCTGCAGGACTTGGGGGAACATGGTCATCTATCCTGGGGACATACACAGATGGGCAGTGGGGGACAGCAAAGGTCCCAGGAGGTCAGACACCCCTAATCCCTTCAACAGTGCCTTGGCCTGGCCCTAGCAGCTCTCAAACTCTCCACACACAACATTGCAAGGTGGTCTCGAACCTGCTGAGTTCCTGCTCCTGCTTCTCCAGCTTGTTCTCCACACTGTACCATGTAGTGTCACTCACACTGCAGGCTGGAGGGGCTCAGTGGCTCAGCACTCACAAGGCTGCTCCCACCCATGCCTTTGTCCTGAGAGCCCACCAGACACTTCCACCCACGCTCCTTGGGGGTCTCTCACCTGCTTGCAGTTCCCGTTCATGTTTCTGTACCTTGATTTCCAGAGCAGTCACCATTTTTTGCAAGCTTCCACCTGGAAGATAAGGGAACTCAGTCCCCACGAGTCAGTTCCCCCCACTCCCCACCCAGCCTCACTCCAAGCCAGGCTCACCCTGGGAATTCAGTGCCAGAACCTCACCCACGTTGCTTGACATGAAAGGGCTGAAAAATTTTCAGGGACTGCAGGTCCATCTGATGTGGAGAAACTGATCAGGTGGGGAATGTGTTTGGGGTGTTCAGACCTGAGATTCATCAGGTGGCCTCTGTGCCAGCACTGAGCAGGGCACTCACACACAGTGTCTCCTTCAGTCCTCACAGTCACCCAGCAGGGCAGGCACTATCGTAGTCCTGATGTTATAAAGGATGAAACTAAGGCTTAGAGAGGTAACGTGATCTGTCCGTGTTGTACAACTAGTAAGAAAGAGCCAGGATTCAAGGTTCTGGTGTGTTTGACTACAAAACACCTAGTGCCTCCTCATGGATCCATCACCATCATCATCACAGCCCAACACTGCCCTCATGTCTCTCCCACAGTTGCCACACAGCTGGCCCAAAGCTGCCCTCATCACTGTCCCCAAACACTCTGCCATAATTGCCTATATTAGTCCATTCTTTAACTGCTATAAAGAAATACCTGAGACTGGGTAATTTATAAAGAAAAGAGCTTTACTTGGCTCATGGTTCTGCAGGCTGTACAGGAAGCATGGTGGCACCTGTTTGGCTTCTGGGGAGGCCTCAGGAAACTCACAATCATGGCAGAAGGCAAAGGGAAAGTGAGGCATCTTACATGGCTGAAGCAGGAGAAAGAAACTGGGGGGAAGAACTGGCCAGGTTCAATGACTCATGCCTGTAATCCCAGCACTTTGGGAGGCCGAGGCAGGTGGATCACGAGGTCAGGAGTTCAAGACCAGCCTGGCCAACATGGTGAAACCTCGTCTGTACTAAGATACAAAAAAATTAGCCGAGCATGGTAGCGAGCACCTGTAACCCCAGCTACTTGGGAAGCTGAAGCAGGAGAGTCACTTGAACCTGGGAGGCAAAGGTTGCAGTGAGCCAAGATCACACCATTGCACTCCAGCCTGGGTGACAGGGCAAGACTCTGTCTCTGAAAAAAATAAAAAGTAGGGGGAGGTACTACACACTTAAACAACTCACACACTATCATGACAGCTGCACCAAGGGGAATGGTGTTAAACCATGAGAAACTGCCTCCATGACCCAATCACTTCCCACTAGGCCCCACCTCCAACAATGGGAATTACAATCGAATATGAGATTTGGGTGGGGACATAGATCCAAATCATATTATTCCACCCCTAGCCCCTCCCAATCTCATGTCCTTCTCACATTTCAAAATATAAGCATGCTTTGCCAATAGTCCTCCAAAGTCTTAACTCATTCCAATACTAACTCAAAAGTCCACAGTCCAAAATCTCATCTGAGACAAGGCTAGTACCTTCCACCTATAAGCCTGCAAAAATCAAAAACAAGTTAGTTATTCCCAAGATACAATGGAGGTATATACATTGGGTAAATACTCCCATTCCAAAAGGGAGAAATCAGCCAAAATAAAGGGGCTACAGGATGCATGCAAATCTGAAATCCAGCAGGGCAATCATTAAATCTTAAAGCTTCACAGTAATCTCCTTTGACTCCATGCCTCACATCCAGGACACACTGGTGTGAGGGGTGGCCTCCCAAGGTCTTGGGCAGCTCTGCCCCTATGGCTTTGCAGGGTTCAGCCCCTGCAGCCACTCTCATGGGCTAGTTTTGAGTATTGTGCCTGTAGCTTTTCCAGGCACAGGGTGCAAGCTGCTAGTGGATCTACCATTCTGGGATCTGGAGGATGGTGGCCCTCTTCTCACAGCTCTACTAGGCAGTGCCCCAGTGGGGACTTTGTGTGGGGGTTTCAGCCTCACATTTCCCCTCCCCACTGCCCTAGTAGAAGTTCTCTATAAGGGCTCCACCCCTGCAGCAGGCTTCTACCTGAACATCCAGGCTTTTCCATATATCCTCTGAAATCTAGGTGGAGACTCCCAAGCCTCAACTCTTGTATTCTGTGCACCTGCAAGCTTAACATCACATGGAAGCCACCAAGACTTATGACTTGCACCCTCTGAAGCAGTAGCCCAAGCTGTACCTGGGCCCCTTTTATCCACATCCAGAGCTGGGTGCAGAGACCAGTGTCCCAAGGCTGTGCAGGACAGTAGAGCCCTGGGCCTGGCCCAATAAACCATTCTTCTCTCCTAGGCCTCCAGGCCTGTGATAGGAGGGGCTGCCATGAAGGTCTCTAAAATGCCTTTGAGGATTTTTTCCCATTCTCTTTACTATTAGCACTTGCCTTCCTCTCAGTTATGCAAATTTCTGTGACCTGCTTGAATTCCTCCCCTGAAAATGGGCTTTTCTTTTCTAACACGTGGCAGAGCTGCAAATTTTCCAAACTTTTATATTCTCCTTCCCTTTTAAATGTAAGTGCTAGTTTTAGGTCATTTCTTTGCTCATGCATATGAATATGTGCTGTTAGAAGCACCCAGGCCACATCTTCTACACTTTGCTGCTTAGAAATTTCTTCCACCAGATACCTTAAATCATCTCTCTCAAGTTCAAGGTTCCATAGATCCCTAGGGCATGGGCACAATCCAACCAAAATTTTTGCCAAAGTATAAAAAAAGTACCTTTGTCCCTATTCACAATAAGTTTCTCATCTCCATCTGAGACCTCATTGGTCTGGCCATCTCTGTCCATATCACTACCAGCATTTGGGTCACAACCATTCAACAAGTCTCTAGAAAGTTCCAAACTTCCCCTCACCTTCCTGTCTTCTTCTGAGCCCTCCACACTTTTCCAACCTCTGCCCATTACCAAGTTCCAAAGTCACTTCCACATTTTCAGGTATCTTTATGGCAATGCTCCACATCTTGGTACCATTTTATTAGTTTGTTCTCACACTGCTATAAAGAAATACCTGAGACTGGGTAATTTATACAGAAAAGAGGTTTAATTGGTTCACGGTTCTGCAGGCTATACAGCAAGGATGGTGGCATCTGCTTGGCTTCTCGAGACACCTCAGGAAACTTACAATCATGGCGGAAGGTAAAGGGGAAATATGACATCTTACATGGCCGAAGCAGGAGGAAAAGAGAGCAGGGAGGTGCTACACACTTTTAGACAACTAGATCTCACGAGAACTCACTACCATGACAGAAGTACCAAGGGGGATGGTGTTAAACCATGAGAAACTGCTCCCATGATCCATTTATCTCCTAACAGGCCTCCAGCATTGGGGATCGCAACTGAACATGAGGTTTGAGCAGGGATAGATTCAAACCACATCACTGTCCCACCACTGCTCCAACACTTTTGCAAGATTTTTTCTTGCAAAAAAAAGACTTTTTCTCTGACCATCCATCACTAAACCTGTACCTCACCATTACCACCACACCACTACACCCCATTATTTCTGTCTTCTCTGTCCACCCCGTGACCCTCACTTTGGGATCGGACCACACAGATGACAACCAGGAGCAGGAGGCCGAGGCACAGGGACAGCAGGAGGAGGCAGTCCCAGAGTGCAGATGCTGCAGGAGGGCCTGGGGAGGAGGCAGCCCTCAGGAGGAGGGGGTGTCAAGACGAGGAGCGTCCAGGACATGACAGAGACGGGAAGAGGAGAGGGGCCAGGGAGCTGTCTAGAGAGGAGGGCTGAGCATAAAGGACACCAGGAAAGGGCGGGATGGGAAGGATTTCAGGGTGGGGGATGCCCAGGCCTTTGACCTCAGGGACCAGCACAAGTCCTCAGTCACACAGGCCCCTCACACCCGTGGGGACCACCAAACACACACACACAGATGGGGGATAATGGAGATATGTGAGGTCCCATGGTCAGAGCTGAGGAAGGGGCAGAAGGACACAGGGAGAGCTGGGGGCAGCCAGGCCCTTCATAGGCTCACGCTCATCTGTGAAAGCAGGTGAAATTATGGTCTTCCTTTGAAGACTTTCCTAAATAACCCATGTTTTTCCTGCTTCCTGTCCCTGTGCCACTGAGGACCCTAACTCCCCTGAAGACTAGGACCACAGAGGCCAGGCCCTGAACCCTCAGAGAGGGGGATCTCCACAGTCCATACTGGAGTCACAGAAATGACCAAAACCAGGAGCCCTGGAGCTACAGCACAGGGGAGACATGAGAAACCCCTCATTGCAGATAGAGGCATTGTCGGCCGGGCGCGGTGGCTCACGCCTATAATCCCTGCACTTTGGGAGGCCAAGGATCACCTGAGGTTGGGAGTTCGAGACCAGCCTGACCAACGTGCAGAAACCCCGTCTCTACTAAAAATATGAAATTAGCCAGGCATGGTGGCGCATACCTGTAATCCCAGCTACTCAGGAGGCTGAGGCAGGAGAATCACTTGAACCCAGGAGGTGGAAGCTGCAGTGAGCCGAGATCACATCATTGCATTCCAGCCTGGGCAACAAGAGCAAAACTCCATCAAAAAAAAAAAAAAAAGAAAGAAGGAAAGAAGGAAAAGAAAGAAAAGAAAGGAAAGGAAGAAAAGAAGGAAAGAAAGAAAAGAAAAGAAAGGAAAGAAAAGAAAGAAAAGAAAGAAAAGAAAGAAAGAAAGAAAGAAAGAAAGAAAGAAAGAAAGAAAGAAAGAAAGAAAGAAAGAAAGAGTTACTGTCTCTGAGAGAGGCACCATCCTTAGACTAGACCTCCTGGGCTTCACACTTTAGAGGGCCCTCACTGGCCCTCCTGTGACTCCATCCCTTCCTGTGGGACTGGGAATCTCCAGGGCCAAGGTGATGTGCTCACCCCAAGCCATACCTGCCCTTCTAGACCATCCTCTGGGTACCTGGGAGCCCAGATCGTCCACCCAGGCAGCTGTACACCTGTCTTCCCCGGGCCTGTCCCCTGGGTGGCAGACCCTGCTCCTGGTGTGCCCACCCTGAGGCTCAAGTGGTAGCCATGGGCAGAGGTTGGGGGGGTGAATGGAGGGTGTGGACCATGCTGAAGGTGTCCTCACGTGTCCCCCAGGCTCCTCAAGGTGCAAGACTGAGCTGAGGGAAGGGAGCAAAGGGAAGTGAGCTCAAGAGGAACTAGCTCAGGCCTCTGCAAACTTTGAGGGGTGGGCCTGTCTCTGGGGTCTTCTGCTTGTCTTACCTTTTCTTTTTCTTTTTTTTTTTTTTCTTGAGACAGAGTCTCGCTCTGTTGCCAGGCTGGAGTGTAGTGGCGCGATCTCGGCTCACTGCAACCTCCGCCTCCCAGGTTCAAGCAATTATCCTGCCTCAGCCTAATAAGTAGCTGGGACTACAGGCACCCGCCACCATGCCCAGCTAATTTTTGTATTTTTTAGTAGAGACAGGTTTCACCATGTTGGCCAGGATGGTCTTGATCTCTTGACCTCACGATCCGCCTGCCTCAGCCTCCCAAAGTGCTGGGATTACAGGTGTGAGCCACTGCACCCGGCCCAATTTTTTATTTTTAGTTGAGACGGGGTTTCGCCATGTTGGCCAGGCTGGTCTCGAACTCCTGACCTCAGGTGATCCATCCACCTCAGCCTCCCAAAGTGCTGGGATTACAGGCGTGAGCCGCCGCACCTGGCCTGTCATACCTTTTCTAAGATCATGTTCCTTCTCACTCTCTAAGCACTTGAGATCTTCATACTTCATTGACATCCTTGGCCCAAGTGGTCTCTGTGGCTGCAGGAGCTGAGATGGAGGCAGAGAAAGGGCTCCGAGGGGGAGCCTGAAATAAGGGCTGGAGGTGGGTGTGGAGCTGGTTTTGAGGTAGGAAGTGAGGATTCGATAGTGGCTGAGCCAGGCGTGAGAACTAGGAATGTGGCTGGGGGCTGGGTTTGCAGGTGAGGTTGAAACAGCGATCACAATTGGGGTTGTATCTGGGGTTAGGATGGGGTTGACTTACTTGGGGCTAAAAATCAGATTGGGTCTCAGGCTAAGATTGTAGACAGGGCTCCTTTGGAGTTGGGTCTGAGTTTGGGGCTGAGATTGGAAACATGTGGGATGGAGCATGGGGGTGTAGTACAGCTAGGCTGGAGCTGCAGTGGGGACAGAGATTGAATTTAGGGATGAATTTAGAGCCGACATTGGGACTGCAGTTGGGGCTGGAACTGGGATTGTATTGGTTTGGGGCTGTCCAACCCAATCTGGAAGTCAGTGGAGAGATCATTTCAATCTCCTCCAATAACTAGTTCAATCTGTGATCCATCTTCCCAGTTATTTCCACCTATAACACAAAGTCGCCCTCTCCATATTTTCCCTAATGCCCTCCCTGCCTCCGCCGTCCAGTTACCTGTACAAAACTAGAGAATGTAATTGTTTGCTTTCTTAGGTAGCAGAATTACCAGGTCAGGAAATTCTAGAGGGAACTGACTTGTATTGGTTCTCCTGCTCCCCTCTACATTCTGTGGCCCTGGTAGAACTGTGATCTCACGCTCCTGCTGGGTGGCTTCTCTCCCATGATCCAAAATCTTTCAGACCCAGGGGAGAGAGGCACAGAGCTGCTTGGGTGGATGATCTGGGTGGATGTTCTTTACTTTTGTGCCTTCAGGCTTCAGAGTGGTGATGTCTCTGCTATTCTTAGCCACAGGGACTTCACCAACTTTTGTTGGCTTCCTCAACCCTGCTCACACTCTGTAAATGTCATTAAACTCTTTTCAATAAACCCTTTTGTGGCCAAGCACTGCAGCTCATACCTGTAATCCTAGCAGTTTGGGAGGCCAAGGCAGGACAATCGCTTGAGCCCAGGAGTTTGAAACCACCCTGGGCAACATAGTGAGACCCTATCTCTACAAAAAATAAACTTAGCCAGGCATGGGGGCACACATCTATAGTCTCAGCTACTCAGGAGGCTGAGAAGAGAGGATTGCTTGAGTCCAGGAGTTCAAGGCTGCAGTGAGCTATGATCGCACCACTGCATTCTAGCCTGGGTGACAGAACAAGAACCTGTCTCTCTATATATATATGTAGAGAGAGAGAAAGAGAAATAAATCCTTTGGTTTTGACACCTGTATCTTGCTGGAACTGATTAAAAAAAAACCCTTTGAATAAAATTATAAATGTTTACTATGGTACACAGAAAAATAAAAAAGAATAAACTCCATTTGGAAGTCTAACAGGCTCCTCAAACTCAACATGTTCAAAATAAAGCTTCTTATCTCCTCATCCCACCCACAAAACCAGCTTCTCACACGGTCTTCCCATCTTAATTAACTGGGACTCCATCCTTCTAGGTTTTCAAGCCCCAAACCTGGAATTATCCTTGACTTTCTCATTTTCCCAAACCCCTCAGACAACCCATCAGCAAATCCTGACAGCTAATTCAGACATTCCTATATGCCAGGGAGCTTTCTGGGTACAGTAATACAGCAATGAATGGGTCCTGCCATCCCTTAATGAACTTAAAAAGTTGGTTCTTAATAGCTGAAATGCAGCTGGGTGTGGTGGCTCATGCCTGTAATCCCAGCACTTTGGGAGGCCGAGGCGGGCTGATCACCTGAGGTCGGGAGTTGGAGACCAGCCTGACCAACCTGGAGAAACCCCATCTCTACTTAAAACACAAAAGTAGCCAGACATGGTGGCAGGCTCCTGTAATCCCAGCTACTCGGAAGGCTGAGGCAGGAGAATCACTTGAACCTGGGAGGCGGAGGTTGCAGTGAGCTGAGATGACGCCATTGCACTCCAGCCTGGGCAACAAGAAGGAAATTCCCGTCTCAAAAAAAAAAAAAAAAAAAAAAATCAAAATAGCTGAGATGCTTCCCTGGTATATGCTGGATTGATTGAAAAAACAGAAATCTCCACCCCTCTCTATATCCATTCTCTACACAGTATGACTTTGTAGACCCCCCCCCAACCCCCCACCAAAATGTGGAATCTATTTCTCTGGCCCTTGAACCTGGGCAGCCTTGCAATCTGCTTTGGCCAATAGGATGCAGCAAAAACGATGCTTCAGTTCCAAGCAAGGCTCTGAAGTCCTTGCAGTCTTCCAATTTCTCTCTTGGACCCCCACCCAGCCATTCTGTGAACAAGGCCAGGCTAAGCTAATGTGGCCCAGTCATCCCCATTGTCCCAGCCCAGAGCCAGCCAAATATGAGACATGGGAGCAAGGCTACCCTAGACCAGCCAACCCCAAGCCAACCCACCAGCTGACCACGGACGCATAAACAAGCCCAGCCAAGATGACCCAAACCTGGCCAGACCAGACCTATAGCCTCATGAGCTATAATAAATGCTTACTGTATAAGCCCTGAGCTTTGAGGTGGTTTGTTACACACCAATTGCTAACCAATACACCTGGGGATCTTATCTACATCTCCCAACAACTCTGGGATCTTCAGAGAAATTAAACAATGGCTTTTCCTAATCACCCTAAGTTTATACCATCTTTAAGTGACAGAAAAGATTTGAACTCAAATCTATATGAGAAGAAAATGCTATTTTCTCAATCACATAGGACTTTCGAAGGCTTCACCTGGCTTCTCCACTCTGCCATTTTTAGATTGCCAAAAATCAAGCAACACAAAGTACGTAAGTTCTCACGAGAGTATATATTCACTTATATGAAGTATATACACGAGAGTGTATGATTTCACTTATATGAAGTTCTAGAAGCTCTAGAAGAGGCAAGGCCAATAAATAGTGAAAAAGAAGTAGATCACTGGCCTGGAAACAGGGAAGTGGTTGGACTGCCCAGAGGCATGAGGGGACTGGTGGGGGCGATGGCAATGTTATCTATTGCGATCGGAGTGGTAGTCACCTAGGCATGCATATTTGTCAAAGTCATCTCTACTCTTTAAATGAGTGCATTTTTATTATGTAAAAATTATACCTTCATGAAGTTGACTTTCAAAAGTTGGAAAAAAAATAAAAGCTTAAGAACACTATACCATCTTTTTAAAATTAAAGAGAAAAAAATTCAAAATGTTAGCAGTGCTTCCAATCTCCCAGTGCTTATTTCTCTCCCAGAGCGGTCTTGCGAGGAGGTCGTGAGAAGAGTCCTCCTCCCACCGCCATTTCTGTGGCCGGGTGGTCCCACCAAAGGCAGCTCAGTGACTCTCCTGGCTGGTCTGACCCAGGCCAGCCTCGCAGACCCAGTGGTAGGGCCTCTGGCAGACGTCGTCATTCCACCTGCCGTCTGGATGGAAGTGAGCACAGTCCTCGCCTCCACCCAGCCCGTGCCCCTGCCAGTCGTCTGGCTGGCCTGGCTTCCAGTTCCTGAGAGGAAAAGACAACAGCAAGCTAGGAAGGGTAGATGGAGTAGAATTCAGTTCAGGGGAGGAGAGGCTGCCAGTCAGATCCCTGGGGGAAACGCTGACGGAGGACATTGGCACAGAAAGCCAGGGTGCACTCACTGGAAGCCGGTCGCATAGTCTGTTCCATCCACCCACTTCCAGGCTCCTTCAGGGTCACTGAGGCCCATCCAGGTGTATGCGGAGCCTAGATATTTCTGGACAAAATTCTGCGGTGACAGAAGGGCAGTGGTGACTTCTTCCCATCCCAGCCAACTCCTTAAACTAGTGATTCTCAACTTTAGCTCTTCGTTAAATCAACTGAGGAGTTTGGAGATGTTTCTCTGGATGCTCAGGCCTATTAAATCTCTGAGGGTGTGGCACAGATGACAGTCATTCTGGAAGCTCCCAGATGATTCCAATGTGCGGCCAAGCTTAAGAACCATTTCCCTAAATGGGACATGTCTTAGGAACTGAGTACCAGAAGCCCTCACCTGCTCCTCCCTGGAGTTGATGACCACCAGGTGGGCGTTCTTCAGCTGGCAGTACTTCTCAGCCTCGGCCCAGGACATCCCAGAGTGAGAGAACCAGTAGCAGCTGTCTTGGTGCTCCACCCAGTTGACAGGGCAGCAGGTCCCTTCAGTGGAGGCTGATTGGGGAGAAATAGGATAGGGTGGAGAGGCTGAGGCTCTGCCCAGTGGGCCATGGGCAGAAAAGTAGGGCCAGGTACTCCCCATACCTTCCTCACCATTGTTGTTGAGAGTAGCCACCTGGCAGGTCAGTTTCTTCAGGTCTTGCACCAGCTGCTGGACTCGCAGGAGCATTTCAGAATGAACTGGGACACACACAGATGGGCAGTGGGGACAGTGGCCTAGGTGTGCCTTCTGCGTAGTGTGTTCCTGGAGCTCAGATACCCCTGCACAGGGCCAAGCCAGGGAATGTTCCTTCCCGCCCCCACCCACCCCCTACATCATGGCCAGGTACAGCCATCAAATCTGCTTTGGATTCCTCTGCCCCTGTTTCTCCAGCCTGCTCTCCAGAGAAAGCATGCTGCCTTTCTTTCTTTCTTTCTTTTTTTTTTTTTTTTTTTTGAGACGGAGTTTCACTCTTGCTGCCCAGGCTGGAGTGCAATGGCGCGATCTCGGCTCACGGCTACCTCCGCCTCCCGTGTTCAAGCAATTCTCCTGCCTCAGCCTCCCTAGTAGCTGAGATTACAGGCGCCCACCACCACACCCAGCTATTTTTTGTATTTTTTTTAGTAGAGACGGGGTTTCACCATGTCGATCAGGCTGCTCTCGAACTCCTGACCTCGTGATCCACCCGCCTCGGCCTCCCAAACTGCTGGGATTACAGGCGTGAACCACTGCGCCCGGCCTGCATGCTGCCTTTCAAGCTGCTGGCTGAAGGGGAGGGCAGTTCAGCACCAGGAGTCTGTTCCCACCTCCACTGTGTCTGAGCGCCTAGCCCCCCACACCCATACTCGGAGGGTCTCTCACCTGCCTGCCGTTCCTGCTTGAAACCCTCCACCTCAGCTTTCAGAGATGCTATCGTTTCTTCCAAGCTGCTGCCTGGAGGACACGGAGACTTGGCTTAGGGGTCAACTTCCTCCTCCCTGGCCTGGCCCCAGCCCAGAGCCCCATCCAAACCAGACTCACCCTGGGAAGTCAGTGCCTGGATCTCCGCCACAGTGTTTGAGGTGAAGTTGCTAAAATCTGTTCTCAGGGTCACCAGGTCCCTCTGAAATTTGGAATCTAAACAGGTGGATGGGAAGGTCAGTGCTGGGATTCATCAGGTCCTCTGTACCAGCACCGAGCAGGGCCCTCCATAAGCATTGCCTTATTGGGTCCTCACGGCAACCCAGTGGGGCAGGCACTATTATTGTTCAATATTGCCGATGAGGAAACTAAGCCTCAGAGAGGTGAAGTAATTTGAGTACATAACCCAACTACTCAGTGACAAAGCCAGCAGCCATCCTGACTATGGGTCCGTCAACTCTCTCCATCACTACCCCCACCACCGTCCCCATCAATCACTCCATCAGTGCCCCCCCACCATTCCCATCAATCACTCCATCAGTGCCCCCATCACCATTCCCATCAATCACTCCATCAGTGCTCCGACCACTGTTCTCATCAATCACTCCATCAGTGCCCCCCACTATTCCCATCAGTCACCCCATCAGTGCTCCCATCACCATTCCCATCGATCACTGCATCAGTGCCCCCCACCATTCCCAACAATCACTCCATCAGTGACCCCCACCACCATTCCCATCAATCACCCCATCAGTGACCCCCCACCGTTCCTATCAATCACTCCATCAGTGCCCCCCCACCATTCCCATCAATGACTCCATCAGTGACCCCCAACCATTCCCATCAATCACTCCATCAATGCCCCCCACCATTCCCATAAATCACTCCGTCTGTGCCCCCACCACCGTCCCCATCAATCACTCCATCAGTGCCCCCCTACCGTTACCATCAATCACTCCATCAGTGCCCTCTCCTCCATTCCCATCAATCACTCCATCAGTGCCCCATCAGTGCTTCAGTGGCTCTGTTGTGACCCCCATGACTGTTGGTAGCACTGCCCTCACCATGCCCCATTGTTATCTCCACAGCTGCCCCCAACACTGTGCCCTGCATTGCTCCTACTGTGGACCTCACCATCGCCCCACCACTGCCCTACTGTAGCACCCCATTATTTATCTTCTACCCCATTATTTCTCTCTTCCCTGTCCACCCCTGTGACCCTCACTTTGGAATCCAACCACACAGATGATGACCAGCAGCAGGAGGCCGAGGCCCAGGGACAGCAGGAGATGGCAGGGCCCAGAGCAGAGACGCTGCAGGAGGGACTGGAGAGGAAGTGGCCCTGCAAGAGGAGAGAGTGTCAGGATGAGGAGGGTCCAGACACCGGAGACGGGAGAAGGAGAGGGCCCAGGGAGCTGTCTAGTGAGGAGGGCTGGGCACAGGGGACTCCAGGGGAGGGTTGGACAAGGAGGATTTTGGGGTGGGGGATGCCCAGGCCTTTGACTTCAGGGACCAGCACAAGTCCTCAGTCACACAGGCCCCTCACACCCCTGGGGACCCACGTGATAGCGATATGAGGGGTCCCATGGTCAGAGCTGGGGGCAGGGGCAGGAGGACACAGGGAGAGCTGGGGGCAGCCAGCCCTTCATGGGCTTATGCTCACCTACCTGCTGGACAATCAGGTTCACAAATGAGTTTCCTTCCAAACCCAACTACTTATCTTTCCCTCCACCAATGCGCAGCTCTCATCCCCACCCCACAGAGCATCAGAAGCTGGGTCCACTGTGATCCTCCCTGTCCCAGTCTTTCTAGAGACCTTGCATCCTCTTCACACTAGGCCCGTCAGAGGCTGGGGCCTGACCTCCTCAGAGTTAGGACCCACCAGTGCGCGTGGTGGAGGTACAGAAATGATAGGAGAAATCCTTCTAAACATATAAAGAGGGCATTTTAGGAGAGTTTCCCCTTTCCTCTTACCATTTTTAAACCCCTGGACTTTCACCTTATTCTCCAAGTACTGGAAGTTTTCATACGTCCTTGTCATGCTTGGGCCAACACGGCTCTGAGGTTGTCACAGCTGAAATGGAGGCAGGGCCGGCGCCCAGTCTGGGGTGGAGCTGGGGAATAGGAGGTTGGGACTAAGTTGGAGCCAAGGGCAGGGCTGACGTTGAGTTGGGAGATGAGGCTCAGGTTGAGAATGAGCCCAGGGTTAAGACGGAAATGAGCCTGGGTTTGCAGTCGAGTTAGAATTGGGGTCGAGTTGAGTTTGGGAGTGAAACTGGAGGGTAACGTTGGAGCTAAACGCATTGCTAGGACTACCCAGTGGGCCAGTTAATCAGGCAGGACTGGAGGTTGTATCTCATGCTAGGATTGGGGTCAGTATGCACGTTGGAGCCATGGATGGAATTGGGGTTAACTTTGGTGGTGAATTTGGAAACAGAATAGAGTCGAGGTTCAATTTTGGCTTTGGGCTGGTGTTAAAATTCAAGTTGATTCTGGGGTTGGGGTTGAAGTAGGAGCTGGGTGGGGGGCGACAGGTGCGGTGGCTCACGCCTATAAATCCCAGCACTTTGGGAGACCGAAGCAGACAGATCACTTTAGGTCAGGAGTTTGAGACCGGCCTGGCCAACATGGTGAAACCCCATCTCTACTAAAAATACAAAAATTAGCTGGGTGTGGTGGTGTGCGCCTGTAATCCCAGCTACTTGGGAGGCTGAGGCAGGAGAATCACTTGAACCCAGGAGGCAGAGGTGGCAGTGAGCCGAGGTTGTGCCGTTGCACTCCAGCCTGGACGACACAGTGAGACTCAGTCTCAAAAAAAAAGAAAATGTAGAAGCTGGGGTTAGTATTGGGATTAGGGCATGGCTGGGCTGAGATGAAGATAAGGCTGGAAATGGGCCACCAATGAGGCTGAGTCTGAGTCTTAGTTTATTTTTATTTTTATTTATTTATTTTTTGAGATGGAATTTCGTTCTTGTCGCCCAGGCTGTTGTGCAACGAGGCCGTCTCGGCTCACTGCAACCTCTGCCTCCTGGGTTCACAAGATTCTCCTGCCTCAGCTCCCGGAGTCTTAGTTTATGACAGGGGATTGTGGCTGCCGTAACCCAATCTAGAATCCAGTGAAGGGAACAGAGTCTCAAATCTCCACGTAGTAATTAAACCCCACACTGCCGCCTTATATTTATTTTCATTTAGTCCCACCCAAGACCCAAAGTCCCCCTCTCCCTGCTTCCTCTGACATCCCCTGTCCCCTGGGTCTCACCGGCACCGGCAGCACCATTACCTGTGGGAGGTCTGGAGGGTGTGATTCCCACGTTGGTTGTGCTGCAAGGACCAGAGGTGGGACGTCACTCAGAGTTGGGAGCGCTGTGTCCTGGAGAGCTGGGGTAGAGGTGACTGGAGTCCTGCTGGTCTTGGGTCTGAAATCCCAGGAGCCCTATCATCTGGGACATCCCATCTCCTCAACTTTAGACAGTAAATGAGAATGAACAGGGATTAGAACACACAGAGACCATGTGTGGGTGGGGAGAGTTGGGTTTGAGGCCAGCTCTGTTCTCCTCCTCCAGGCCATGCCTACTTCCTTTCCTCTTCTCGGAGCTTCCTCATTTTTACCATCTGGGAGCAGGGCTGGATCAGAGGTACAATCTGCTGTTGCTCCTCTACCCTACACTTCCTTTCACTTCCTGCCTCTACATTTCCCAGAATTGTTGGGTCTCCATCATCGCACCTCTGATCCTAGAGAAGCCCAGTCTGTTCTCTTGCTCAATCCTGGCCTGAGTCCCTGGCATCAGCATCCTCTGGGTCCCAGTCATTCGGCTGCTCAGCTGTGGCCTCGCTCGCCTCACTCCACTCGGAAGGAGGGAAGGGGGTGCCAGAGAATAGAACTTCTTGGCCCTAATAGGACGGGAGAAGCCAAGGAAAAGAGCAAATTTTATTGAGTAATCTGTGATAGGATTATGCCAGACATTTACCTTCCACAACCATTCCCCCCAAGCACCTGGGGAGGCATTTTGGATGACGGACTAAAGGCTCAGAGCCCAAGATCACTCACAGCTTGTAAGGAGACAGTTTGGCACCCTGCTCTGGCTCTCAGCACAGGCGCTGTCTTCATGAACAGGATTCCATTTCATCCCATGATCCCTGCTCAACCCCTAAGGGAGCTGCCCTGAATCCACGCGCACATCCCTTTCAGTAGGAAGGAAACTGAGTATCTTACAAGGTGGAGAAGGAGAAGAAATACATTTTAGGTTATATTTTGTATGTACATGGGGTTGTGTTCTGCTATGTGCTTTTTTTTTTTTTTTTTGGAGTTAACAAGCTATCAGGAACATTTCTCCACATCAGTTTATAAAATGTACTTGATCTACCTGCACCTCATTTCATCATAGGCACCGTAATTTATTTATTTAGCATTTCTCTATTGACAGAAATAAATCAGAAATTTAAGTTGTTTCTTTTTCTTTTCTTTTTTATTTTATTTATTTATTTATTTTTTTGAGACAGAGTCTCACTCTGTTGCCCAGGCTGGAGTGCAGTGACACAATCTCGGCTACTGCATCTCCTGGGTTTAAGCGATTCTCCTGCCTCAGCCTCCCGAGTAGCCGAGATTACAGGTCCCGCCACCACACCCAGCTAATTCTTGTATTTTTAGTAGAGAGGGGTTTCACCATATTGGCCAGGCTGGTCTTGACCTCCTGACCTCACATGATCTGCCCGCCTCAGCCTCCCAAAGTGCAGGGATTACAGGCGCGAGCCACCGCACCCGGCCAGGTCGTTGCCAGTTTTGTTTTTATTTGGTATTCGGTATTTTGATTAGTATATGTCGCAGGTTCGGTTTTTGGAAGCCAAGGTTGAGGCTGAATTTGGGGTACAAGCTATTTATTAGGGATTAGCACTTCGAAAAGGAAAGTGGATGAAATGGTGCTGGGCAGAGGGAGAAGCCCAGCACTTTGGAGAGCTTCAACCAAACCAACAGGGAGCTCTGGGTTCAAACAATGCCACCCCCGGGAGCTGTCCAGCATTGGACTGCCACAGGGTCCTGTAGAGCACCAGCTCCTTCGGTCACTGGCAGTCAGCCCTGACATGGGTGTGACCTCAGGAAGCAGCTGTCTGCAGGTTACACTCCCCACAGTGGGTCACCACATCCTTCCTAGAAGGGGGACCTGGGTAGCTCTCTGTGTGTCTACCACAGTCTTGCAGTGTATTCACATATTAATTTGGAGATAATCAACATTTTGACATTGTTGAATCTTCCATGAAAAGAACATGATATTTCTCCATTCACTAACTTTTTTTTTTCAGTCTGGTTCAGTGGGTTTGAAGCTTCTTTTTTTTTTTTTAGTTCTGGGATACATGTGCAGAATGTGCAGGTTTGTTACGTAGGTATACGTGTGCCATGGTGGTTTGCTGCACCTATCAACCCATCACCTAGGTTTTAAGGCCCGCATACATTAGGTATTTGTCCTAATGCTCTCCCTCCCCTTGCCGCCCACCCCCTGACAGACCCTGGTGTGTGATGTTCCCCTCCCTGTATCCATGTGTTCTCATTGTTCAGCTCCCGGTTATGAGTGAGAACATGCGGTGTTTGGTGTTCTGTTCCTGTGTTACTTTGCTGAGAATGATGGTTTCCAGCTTCATCTATGTCCCTGCAAAGGACATGAACTCATTCTTTTTTATGGCTGCATAGTATTCCATGGTGTATATGTGCCACAATTTCCTTATCCAGTCTATCATTGATGGGCATTTGGGTTGGTTCCAAGTCTTTCCTATTGTAAATAGTTCTGCAATAAACATACGTCCAATCACTCTTATACACATTTATTCATCCATTTGAGTACTTATTGAGTCTACGGCATGCCAAGCACTTTCCTTCCCAAGAGGCAGAGTTCAGGAGTTCAAAAGTAAACAGACAAAAAAGTCCTGCCTTCATAGAGCTTACCTTCTAGTGGGTCACCAATAAACAAAATAAATGAGTAAAATATACATAAGCCACATGGCAATAGTGCTTTGCGGAAAAAGAGCAGGGATATGAGATAGGGTTGATTTTTAATGTCCCTCAAGAATAGGGCATGTATTAGTCCATTCTCACATTGCTCTAAATAAATACCTGAGACTCGGTAATTTATCAAGGAAAGGGGTTTAATTGCTTCGTAGTTCTGCAGGCTGTGCAGGAAGCATGGTGCCGGCCTCTGCTCAGTTTCTGGGGAGGCCTCAGGAAACTTATGATCATGGTGGAAGATGAAGGGGGAGCAGGTGCCTCACATGGTAAGAACAGGAGCAAGAGAAAAGACAGGGGATCAGATTTTAAATGACCAGATCTCACGGCTGTGCGCAGTGGCTCACGCCTGTAATCCCAGCACTTTGGATGGCCAAGGCGGGCGGATCATGAGGTCAGGAGATCGAGACCATCCTGGCTAACACAGTGAAACCCTGTCTCTACTAAAAATACAAAAAATTAGCCAGGCGGGGTAGCGGGCACCTGTAGTCCCAGCTACTGGGGAGGCTGAGGCAGGAGAATGGCATGAACCCAGAAGGCGGAGCTTGCAGTGAGCCGAGATCGCGCCACTGCACTCCAGCCTGGGCAACAGAGCAAGACTCCATCAAAAAAAAAAAAAAAAAAAAAAAGACCAGATCTCACGAGAACTCCCTCACTATCATGAGAACAGCACCAAGGAGATGGTGCTAACCATTCATGAGAAATCCATCCCATAATCCAATCACCTCCTACCAGGCCCCACCTCCAACATCGGGGATTACAATTCAAGATGAGATTTGGGCGGGGACACAGATCCAAACCATACCAGAGTGTCAAGAAAGGCCTCACTGGGAAGGTGATATCTGAGCAAAGTTTGAAGGAGGTAAGGAAGCAAGTCACAAGGGGCTCTGGCAGGAAGAGTGATGCAGGGAGCGGGCAGAGCAAGTGCAAAGGCCCTGAGGTGGGAGAACGTCTGGTGTGTATGAGGATCATCCATTTGACAGACTTGCCAGAGATTTTATAGAGAAGTGAGTCAGGGAGGAGAAGAGTAGATGAGCGATGGGGGAAAATGTGAGCCTTGTTGGCTGTTATTAAGGACTTGTTTTTACTCTGAGTCAGAGATGCAGACTTTGAAGGGGTTGGAGCAGAGGAATGACATAACCTGACATATGTTAACTGTAACGGTGTGGCTTTTGTGTTGTGAATTTGATGAAACAAGCTGGAAACAGAGAGTCTAGGTAAGAAGCTGCTGTCATATCCAGGTGAGAAATGAGGTGGTCAGAAGTGTTGTGATTCTGGATATATTGTGAAGGTAGAGCAGACAGAATTTCGCTGATAAATTGCTTGCGGGTTTCATGAAAAAAATAGTTCTTCTAGTCCCCAAAATAAACTAAACATTGAGCATTTTCTATAAATTGCTGACTCCCTAGAAAAACAACTCTAACCCTGATGTTTGCAATGCTGACGCCTGGGTAGGTCATGACCTTTCGTGCATATGAAAATCATGTGAGAAAAGCGCTGGGTTTTGCCATCATGAGTAGACTGATAAAAACGTGCTCACAATGGTAATCTTGGAGAATTTCCCTTTCAATACTTGTTGTGGTTTTAGTTTGGCAAGCCTGTCCTTCTAAAGCCTGATTTATTTGCCAGGTCTTGGCAAGCAATCTTCTTTTCTTTCCTAAATGCTTCTGTCCCTGAGACCCCTTTCACTGTTGACAATGATCGTTTCCCTCTTCCGCCACATTTTCCGCAAATTCTTACCCTCTCCTAGAACCGCTACTGGTCAGGACTTTTTTTTTTTTTTTTTAAGCTAGGAACAAGAGAAAGCACGCTCGTGCCACCAGTTCTCCATGAGATTCTTCCAGACCATACAGAAAGACAAGTGATTGGAACATATGAAGGTTGAAAGGGAAAGAGAACTGTCATTATTGGTAAATGACATGATTGTCTACTTTAAAAATCCAAGAGAAACAGCCCCTCCTGGGCTCAAGTGATCCTCCCGCCTCAGCCTCCTGAATAGCTAGGACTACAGGCATGCACCACCACACTAGTTAAACATTTTACTGTGTAGAGAACAGATCTCACTATTGTTCCCCAGCCTAGTCTCAAACTCCTGGCCTCAAGCAATCCTCCCACCTCAGCCTCCCAAGGTGCTGGGATTACAGGTGTGAGCCATCATGCCCAGCCTGTGTTCTCTTCGATAATTTTTATAGTTTCAGCTTTGATGTGTGTCTATGATCATTATGAATTAGATTTTTTCATATATATACAGTTGTTCCAGCACCATTTATTGAAAATACTTTTCTCCATTTAATTATTTCTACCTATATAGTTGATAGAATTCATCAGAGACGTCATCTGAAACTGGATATTTTCTTTGTTGAAAGATTTTAAATTGTGAATTTATTTGAATTCAGGAAAGTCTGTTCAGATTTCCTATTGCGTTTTTAGTTTTGGTAATGTGTATCTTTCAAGTAATTTTTCCATTTTATTCTATTTATGGGCAAATTTATTGGCAAAAAGTTGTTCATATTATCCTTTTGATGTATGTAGGAGCTGTATTTATATTTTCTTTCTTTTTTTTTTTTTTGAGATGGAGTCTCACTTGTCGCCCAGGCTGGAATGCAGTGGCGCCATCTCGGCTCACTGCAAGCTCTGCCTCCCGGGTTCACGCCATTCTCCTGCCTCAGCCTCCCGAGTAGCTGGGACTATAGGCGCCCGCCGCCACGCCTGGCTAATTTTTTTTTTTTGTATTTTTAGTAGAGACAGGGTTTCACCATGTTAGCCAGGATGGTCTCGATCTCCTGACCTTGTGATCTGCCCGCTTCGGCCCCCCAAAGTGCTGGGATTACAGGCGTGAGCCACTGCGCCCGGCCTTATATTTTCTTTCATTCTTAACACTGGCAATTTGGGGGTTTGTTTGTTTGTTTTTGAGACAGAGTCTCACTCTGTTGCCCAGGCTGGAGTGCAGTGGCATGATCTCGGTTCATGCAGCCTCTGCCTACCAGATTCAAGAGATTCTTGCGCCTCAGCCTTCCAAGTAGCTGGGATTACAGGCGTGCGCCACCATGCCCAGCTAATTTTCGTTTTGTTTGTTTGTTTGTTTTTTGAGACAGAGTCTCGCTCATTGCCCAGGCTGGAGTGCAGTGGCACGATCTCGGCTCACTGCAAGCTCCGCCTCCCGGGTTCACGCCATTCTCCTGCCTCAGCCTCCCGAGTAGCTGGGACTACAGGCGCCCGCCACCATTTTGTATTTTTAGTAGAGACGGAGTTTCACCGTGTTAGCCAGGATGGTCTCGATCTCCTGACCACGGGATCCGCCTGCTTCGGCCTCCCAAAGTGCTGGGATTACAGGCGTGAGCCACCACACCCGGCCAATTTTCGTATTTTTAGTAGAAATGGGGTTTTACTACGTTGGCCAGGCTGGTCTCAAACTCTCAGCTTTAAGTGATCTGCCCACCTTGGCCTCCCAAAGTGCTGAGATTACAGGAATGAGCACTGTACCTGGCCAACACTGGCAATTTATGTCTTCACACTTTTTTTCTATCAATTTTATCAATTTTATTGATCTTTTCAGAAACAGTTTCTGGTATAATTAATTTTCCTTGTTTGTTTATTTCATTGACTTCCGCTCTTATTTTCTTCATGTTTGTACATTGGATATAAACATCTTTTTCTGGTCTCTTAAGGTAGAAGCTTAGATTCTTTGATTTTTGGCCCTTTCTCTTTTTCTAGTATAAGCAATGAATGTTGTAAAATTTCATCTAAGCATTGTTTTGAATGCAGCATCTTCTCATTTTCTTTTTGTTGTTGTTGTTGTTGAGACGGAGTCTCGCTCTGTCGCCCAGGCTGGAGTGCAGTGGCAGCGCTATCTTGGCTCACTGCAAGCTCCACCTCCCGGGTTCACTCCATTCTCCTGCCTCAGCCTCCCAAGTAGCTGGGACTAAAGGTGCCCGCCACCATGCCCGGCTAATTTTTTGTATTTTTAGTAGAGACGGGATTTCACTGTGTTAGCCAGGATGGTCTCGATCTCCTGACCTCGTGATCCACCTGCCTCGGCCTCCCAAAGTGCTGGGATTACAGGCGTGAGCCACCGCGCAGGGCCCTCATTTTCATTCAGTTAAAAATATCTTCTAATTTATGGTTTCTTTTTTGATCCATAGGTGATTCAGAGGTATATTGTTTAATTCCAAAATATTTGGATTTTTTTTTCCACTTTTTTTGTTATTGATTTAATATATTTAATATTTAATTCCATTTTGATCTTAGAAAATGTATTATTTTTAGCTTTAAACATTTATTGAGGGCTTCCAGTTCCAGGTAAAATGATGGAAACACATTCCATCCTTTCTGTCCCATTGAATACAACTCTAAAATGTGGGTAGAATATATGCATCAGCTTATTGAAAACCCTGAAAAATGAATTGTAACATGTTTGTCATAGAAAAACACCAGAATTTGAAGTATCACTGAACTGGCAGCAAGTTTACCATTTTTTCTTCTATGGTTCCCCAACCTGAGTTCAGCATGGCCAAAATTCTGGAAATGAACACTGTGGCATGGATAGAGGGAGCTCCAGGAAATGCTTTCTAGGCCTGGCTTGAGGAACTCCTAACACTCACAGGAAATACAGAAATCTCCTGTGGACTTTTCCCCCCTTTCTTTTCTTTTTCTTTTTTTCTTTTTTTTTTTTTTTTTTTTTTTTTTGTGACGCAGTCTTGCTCTGTCCAGGCTTGAGTGCAGTGGCGGGATCTCCGCTCACTGCAACCTTCGCCTCCCAGGTTCAAGCGATTGTCCTGCCTCAGCCTCCTGAGAAGCTGAGACTACAAGCGCATGCCACCACACCCAGCTAATTCTTGTGTTTTTAGTAGAGTCAGGGTTTCACCATGTTGGCCAGGATGGTCTTGATCTCCTGACCTTGTGATCCGCCCACCTCGGCCTCCCAAAGTACTGGGATTACAGGTGTGAGCCACCACGCCCAGCCTCCCCCTTTCTTTTCTTGTGCCATGTCCATGGTCAATCTCATGGCAGCAATGGCAGCACTGGGATGACTAGGGCCAGAAGAGGCCAAAACTTTAAGGGAGAAGAACCTTCCTCTCTGTGTAAGGGAGCTGCAGTTCCAATAAATTGAGAATGCCTTTGTGTTGTTATTGTTTTTTTTTTTCTCTGTGCCCTTCCTCCATTTAGACGAGTTTCTCACGATAGAGCCAAAAAGAAGAGCTGCAGGAAACCAGAGAGTACCAGGGAGACCATGAAGATATGTATGCTTGGGAAAGCTACACTGTAAAGCTGTTGATGAGCTCCAGGGCTGACCACTGAGCCGTGATTGTAAGGATCTCACCCTAATTAGCATCCTAAAGACTTTCAGATCTAAACTCACGAACAAACTACCGCTCATGCCGCACACTAACCAGAGTGGCACACAGTCATGACAGACCTAAAGAGATCTAAAAAAAAAAACAGAAGAGAACATAACATATCAAAAGGCTTTAGAACTGAACTGACATTGGAACCATACCCTACAGAGGTGTGTTGGAACACACAGCCTCAACCTAACCAGGTCAATTGCCTGCTAAACAAAAATATCAACTGTGGGGAAAAGAAAGAGAGATCAGACTGTTACTGTGCATACGTAGAAAGAAGTAGACATAAGAAACTCCATTTTGTTCTGTACTAAGAGAAATTCTTCTGCCTTGAGATGCTGTTAATCTGTAACCCTAGCCCCAACCCTGTGCTTGTAGAGACATGTGCTGTGTTGACTCAAGGTTTAACGGATTTAGGGCTGTGCAGGATGTGCTCTGTTAAAAATGTGTTTGCAGGCAGTGTGCTTGGTAAAAGTCATCGCCATTCTCTAATCTTGAGTACCCAGGGACACAGTGCACTGCGGAAGGCTGCAGGGACCTCTGCCCAGGAAAGCCAGGTATTGTCCAAGGTTTCTCCCCATGTGATAGCCTGAGATACAGCCTCATGGGAAGGGAAAGATCCCAGCCCAAAACCCGTAAAGGGTCTGTGCTGAGGAGGATTAGTGAAAGAGGAAGGCCTCTTTGCAGTTGAGATAAGAGGAAGGCATCTGTCTCCTGCTCATCCCTGGAAATGGAATGTCTCGGTGTAAAACCCGATCGTATGTTCTATTTACTGCGATAGGAGAAAACCGCCTTATGGCTGGAGGTGAGACATGCTGGCGGCAATACTGCTCTTTAATGCACTGAGATGTTTGTGTAAAGTCAAACATAAATCTGGCCTATGTGCACATCAAGGCACAGCACCTTTCCTTAAACTTATTTATGACACAGAGATCTTTGCTCACGTTTTCCTGCTGACCCTCTCCCCACCATTACCCTATAGTCCTGCCACATCCCCCTCTCCGAGATGGTAGAGATAGTGATCAATAAATACGGAGGGAGCCGGGCGCGGTGGCTCACGCCTGTAATCCCAGCACTTTGGGAGGCTGAGGCGGGCAGATCACGAGATCAGGAGATCGAGACCATCCTGAACACGGTGAAACCCCGTCTCTACTAAAAATACAAAAAATTAGCTGGGCGAGGTGGTGGGTGCCTGTAGTCCCAGCTACTGTGGAGGTTGAGGCAGGAAAATGGCGTGAACCCCGGGGGGCGGAGCCTGCAGTGAGCCGAGATCGCGCCACTGTACTCCAGCCTGGGCGACAGCGAGACTCCATCTCAAAAATAAAATAAAATAAAATGAAATAAAATAAAATAGCTACTGAGGGAACTCAGAGACCAGTGCCGGCACGGGTCCTCTGTATGCTGAGCACTGGTCCCCTGGGCCCACTGTTCTTTCTCTATACTTTGTCTCTGTGTCTTATTTCTTTTCTCAGTCTCTCATCCCACCTGACGAGAAACACCCACAGGTGTGGAGGGGCTGGCCCCTTCAATCAACAGTCTCTATAGAATTTAAACAAGACCTAGAATCTCATAACTTAACATTTAAATTGTTCAGAATAGGCTGGGCCCAGTGGTTCATGCATGTAATTCCAGCACTTTGAGAGGCCAAGGCAGGTGAGTCACCTGAGGTCAGGAGTTCAAGACCAGCCTGGCCAGCATGGTGAAACCTCGTCTCTACTAAAAATACAAAAGTTAGCTGGGCATGGTGGCACACGCCTGTAATCCCAGCTACTCGGGAGGCTGAGGTTGCAGTGAGCCAAGATCGCACCATTGCACTCCAGCCTGGGCGACAGAGCAAGACTCCATCTCAAAAATAAAACAAAATAAAATAAAATGTCCAGAATACAATCCAAAATCATTTGACATATAAAGAACAACAAAAAGTTTGACCTGATGGTAAAAGGCAGTGCCAAGATGACAACGATGTTGAAATTCTCTGACAGACTTTAAATCAGATATTATAAGAATGCTTGAGTGAGCAATTGATAACACTCTTGAAACAAATGTTAAAATAGAAAGCCTTGGTAAAGAAATAGAGGCTATAAAGAAGAACCAAATAAAAACATTAAAACTGGCCAGGTGCAGTGGCTCATGCCTACAATCCTGGCACTTTTGGAGCCCACGGCAGGAGAGTCACTTGAGGCCATGAGTTCAACACCAGCCTGGGCAACATTGTGAGACTCTGTCTCTACAAAAAAAAAAATTAAAAATTAGCTGGGCGTGGTGTCATGCACCTGTAGTCCCAGCTATTGAGAAGGCTAAGGTGGGAGGATTGCTTGAGGCCAGGAGGTCAAGGCTGCAGTGAGCCATGATCATGCCACTGCACTCTAGCCTGGTCAACATAGCAAGACCCTATCTCAAAAAAATTAAATAAATAGAATTTTTAAAATTAAAAAAATAAAAATGTTAAAATTGAAAGGCACAATAATTGAAACAAAAAACTCAATGGTTGAACCTAGAGCAGAATGGAATAACAAAGGAGTCAGTGTATTTGAAGATACATCCATAGACACTACCCAAGCTGAGGAACAGAGAGAAAAAAAAAATAGGAAAAAAATAGCAGAGCCTTAGGGACCGACTGTCGTCCAATAAGAAAATATCTTTTTTTTTTTTTTTCTGAGACAGTCTCACTTAGTCGCCCCAGCTGGAGTACAGTGGTGTGATCTTGGCTCACTGTAGCCTCCACCTCCCAGGTTCCAGAGATTATCCTGCCTTAGCCTCCCAAGTAGCTGGGATTACAGGCATGCTGATATTTGTATTTTTAGTAGAGACAGGGTTTCACCATGTTGGCCAGGCTGGTCTCAAACTCCTGACCTCAAGTGATCCACCCACCTCAGCCTCCCAAAGTGTTGGGATTACAGGCGTGAGCTATCACACCTGGCCACTTAGAAAGAAATTTATTATAAAATGCTTACGTTAAAAAGAAGAAAGTTCTCTTAAGTCAATAATCTAAGTTCCCACCTTACAAAATTAGAAAAAGAAACACAAAAGAAACTCCAAACAAGCAAAAGAAAGGAAATAACAAAGATAAGAGCAGATATCAATGAAGCTGAAAACAGAAAAACAGTAGAGAAAATCAATGAAACCAAAATCTGGTTACTTGAAAAGATCAATACAATTGATAAACCTCTAGCAAAACTGATGAAGAGGGAAAAAAGCAGACACTACAAAATACTATTTGTAGGGTCCAGCCCTTTGGGGCTTAGCGGGTGTTCTCCCCGTGTGCGGAGACGAGAGATTGTAATAAATAAAGACACAAGACAAAGAGATAAAGAGAAAGCAGCTGGGCCCGGGGGACCACTACCATCAAGACGCGGAGACCGGTAGTGGCCCCGAACGGCTGGTTGCGCTGATATTTACTGCATACAAGACAAGGGGGCAGGGGAAGGAGGGTGAATCTTCTAAGTGATTGACAAGATGCAGCAAGTCACGTGATCACAGGACAGGGGGCCCTTCCCTTTTAGGTAGCCGAAGTAGAGAGAGAAGGCAGCATACGTCAGCGTTTTCTTCTATGCACTTATAAGAAAGATCAAAGACTTTAGACTTTCACTATTTCTTCTACCGCTCTCTACTACGAACTTCAAAGAGGAACCAGGAGTACGGGAGGACATGAAAGTGGACAAGGAGCGTGAGCATTGAAGCACAGCCCCACAGGGAGGGGTTTAGGCCTCTGGATGACTGCGGGGAGGCCTGGATAATATCCAGCCTTCCACAAGAAGCTGATGGAGCAGAGTGTTCCCTGACTCCTCCAAGGAAAGGAGACTCCCTTTCGCGATCTGCTAAGTAACGGGTGTCTTCCCAGGCACTAGCGTTACCGCTTGACCAAGGAGCCCTCAAGCGGCCCTTATGCGAGCGTGACAGAAGGTTCACCTCTTGCCTTCTAGGTCACTTCTCACAATGTCCCTTCAGCACCTGACCCTATACCTGCCGGTTATTCCTAGGTTATATTAGTAATGCAACAAGCAGTAATATTAAAAGCTAATGATTAATAATGTTTATAATAATGATTGATAATTGTCCATGATCATCTCTATATCTAATTTGTATTATGACTATTCTTATTCTAACTATTTTTTTTATTATACTGAAACAGTTTGTGCCTTCAGTCTCTTGCCTCGGCACCTAGGTACTCTTTCGCCCACAACTATTATCAAGAATAAAATAGGGGATTTCACTACAGACCCTGAAAAGATTAGAAGGATAATAAAGGACCATTATGATTACGCACAAAATTTCAACAGTTTAAACGAAATGGAACAATGACTCAAAAACCACTAACTACCAAAATTTACCCAAGATTAAATAAATAAACTGAATAGGGCCTGGCGCAGTGGCTCACGCCTGTAATCCCAGCACTTTGGGAGGCTGAGGCGGGAGGATCACAATGTCAGGAGATCGAGACCATCCTGGCTAATAGGAGACCCCATCTCTACTAAAAATACAAAAAATTAGCTGGGCATGGTGGCAGGCGCTTGTAATCCCAGCTACTCGGGAGGCTGAGGCAGGGGAATCGCTTGAACCCAGGAGGTGGAGGTTGCAGTGAGCCAAGATCACGCCACTGCACTCCAGCCTGGGCGACAGAGCAAGACTCTGTCTCAAATAAATAAATAAATAAATAAATAAATAAATAAATAAATCGTTCTAGAACTATAAAGAAATTGATTTTAGCCAGGCATGATGGCTCACACCTGTAATCCCAGCACTTTGGGAGGCCGAAGCGGGAGGATCACTTGAGCTCAGGAGTTTGAGACCAGCCTGGGCAACATGGCAAAACTCCATCACTACGAAACAATACAAAAATGAGCCGGGTGTGGTGGGTTGCACCTGTGGTCCCAGCTACTCTGGAGGCTGAGGTGGAAAGGTGAACTCAGCTGTACACCCACCAGCTGTACACTCACTGCAGGAGGCCGAGGCTGCAGTGAGCCATCATTGCACCATTGACTCCAGCCTAGGCGACAGAGGCACTGTCTCAAAGTAAAAAAAAAAAAAAAAAAAAAAAAAAAAAAAAAAAAGAAATTGAATTCATAGTTTAAAACCTTCCAAAACAGAAATCACCAGCCCAGATGGCTTAACTAGCGAATTCTACCACACATTTAAAGATGAAGTAACACCAATTCTACGCAATCTCTTCCAGAAAATAGAAGAGGGACCACTTCCCAACTCATTTTCTTAGGCTAGCATTTGCTCTGCTCCTGAAAGCAGACAAAGGTAATACAAGTAAAGAAAACTACAGACCGATATCTCTCATGAACATAGACATAAAAGTCTCAACAAAATATTAGCAATTGGAAACTAGCAATACATGAAAGGATAATATACTATAACTAAGTAGTGCTTATCTCAGGCCTGAAAGACTGGTTCAATATTCGGAAGTCAATTAATATAATCCAGCATATTAACAGTCTAAGAAGAAAAGCAACAAAATTGTATCCACTCATGGAGAGAAGGCATTAGACAAAATTCAATATCCATTTATGATTTTTTTAAATACTCTTAGTACACTAGGAATAGAAGGAAAGTTCCCCAATCTGATAAAGGGCATCATCTACTAATATGTCATTCATTGTTATTCAATAGACTTTTTTTGGATTTTTCTTCCTATACATTCAGCTGTCAAAGACAGTTTTAATTTCAGGTCTCAAAAGTCCAGCCCAGACTAAAGCAAACCTTTTTTTTTTTTTTTTTTTTTTTTGAGATGGAGCCTCGCTCTGTCGCCCAGGCTGGAGTGCAGTGGCGCGATCTCGGCTCTGCAACCTCCGCCTCCCAGGTTCAGGCAATTCTGCCTCAGCCTCCCGAGTAGCTGGGACTACAGAAACACACCACCACACCCTGCTAATTTTCTGTATTTTTAGTAGAGACGGGTTTTCACCATGTTAGCCAGGATGGTCTCAATCTCCCGACCTCATGATCCGCCTGCCTCGGCCTCCCAAAGTGCTGGGATTACAGGCGTGAGTCACCACGCCGGCCGATTTTTTTCTTAACACTCAGCACCACTGTCTGTCTGTCGGAGGACTGCCTTCACGCCGCTACAGAAGGCAGGAAGTCACAGAATGGATGATAGCCCGTGACTGTTGCGTTCTGAGGTGTGAGTACTCCAGCTCCCCTGTTCCTAATGGGGGCAACTCTGAGATGTGACCTACACTGTTTCCAATGCTCCCCAGTGGGATTGAGATAGTTACACCACCACCAACAATGCAAGGCTTGCCTTCGAGCACTTCCTGATGAATTCCTTTCCCAAGAACCAAGCTCTCACAGCGAGCTTCAATTGCATGCACGCTTGCCTTCCTTCCCTTCCTCTTCCTGATTCCCCATTCTCCTGTCCACTTCTCCTAAGAGCACTTTCTAGTGAATCACTTTCATAAGAATCATCTCGGGGACTGACTGAGAGAAGCCAGGACTGGAGTCCTGGGAGGTTCTGTTCCTCCTTTCTGTTTCTTTTCCTCTTCTCAGTACTCCTCAAGGGCTGGGTCAAGGGAGAGAAGAATGCAAGGAAACCAGCGCTGCCATCTGTGCTAGTGTGGCAGTCGAGGAGGTCTTCACAGCAAGCATCCGACACTGGCTTTCATGAGGTCTATTGGGGGTGTCCAGAGACCCCCGCAGGATCTTTTGTGACCCAGCCGTTCACCACCAGTTCCTGCCCAGATGAAAACTGTACACCCACCGCCTCTTACAGCCTCGCTCTGCCATGCAGTCCTCTTGGGCAGGGTCCTTCCTAGCTGGCTCAAGCCTGACATCTATAGAGTCGCCTCGGCTCACGGGTTCTCTGACATTATGCTGCCAGACTACCAAGTGCAGCCTGATTGACTGGTGGACGGGGCAACTCCAGCCCAGATGTTTGTCTTCAGACTTCTCCTGTCAAGAAGCAGAGATGAGTCTGTTTCTTCACAACTGCCACAAAACTCCTGAGGACACAGCCATAGCCTCCACTAAAACTCTTCTTGCCCCTCTCACGTAGCATTCCACAGTGGTCCCAGTGGTGTCTGCATCTTATAAGGCTACCATCAGGCCTGGCAGGGAGATGCTCGTGTTATCCCCTGGCAGACAACCACTGTCTCTACAAACAGTTCCCTTGCAACTCTATTATCTCACTGATAGAGGTTTAAAGAAGCATTCCCCTTCCTGTGGAGGGAAAAAGTGTTGAATCCCTTGCTACACATCTAAGAATTCCCTTGAGGCCGGGCGCGGTGGCTCACGCCTGTAATCCCAGCACTTTGGGAGGCCGAGGCAGGTGGATCACTTGAGGTCAGGAGTTCGAGACCAGCGTGGCCAACATGGTGAAACCCTGTCTGTACTAAAAACACAAAAAGGAGCCAGGCATGATGGCGGGTGCCCGTAATCCCAGCTACTCAGGAGGCAAAGGTAGGAGAATCACTTGAACCCAAGAGGTGGAGGTTGCAGTGAGCCGAGATCGCGCTACTGCACTCCAGCCTGGGTGACAGAGCAAGACTCCATCTCAAAAAATAAAAAAACAAAAAAGAATTGCTTTGAAACAATCCCCTTAAATCTCCATTCATCTTTTGCGTAGCCTGGGAAGAGTGATGGTGATTATGTTGCCTCTCTTAGTTAGTCCTGCCTACATGCATCCAGCTTTTCTCTGTTTTAAATGGGCACTTACCAATGATCATTCTCAACTTTGGGAATCTAGCCAAATCTCTATAACAACAGGAAAAGTGTCATTTAACCTCCCTATTTCTTGTGGTCATGTCACTTTTCTCAGTTCCTTAATTGGGCTTGCCAAGATGTTGTTTACCATATTAGTCTTTTTGGAAAGGGGTTTTTGTTAAGAGGATAACATGACAAGCTACAGACTTGGAGAGAATATTTGCAAACCACCTATCCAACAAAGGGTTAGTACCTAGAATATATAATGAATTATCAAAACTTGACAGTGAAAAAACAAACAATCTCAATTAGAAAATGGGCAGAAACCTGGGCACAGTGGCTCACGCCTGTAATCCCAGCACGTTGGGAGGTCGAGGCAGGCGGATCACCTGAAGTCAGGAGTTCGAGACCAGCCTGGCCAACATAGCAAACCCCATCTGTACTAAAATACAAAAATTAGCCGGGCGTGGTGGCGAGCACCTGTAATCCCAGCTACTCGGGAGGCTGAGGCAGGAGAAACACTTGACCCTGGGAGGTAGAGGTTGTGGTGAGCCGAGATCGCGCCACTGCACTCCAGCCTGGGTGACAAAGCGAGACTTTGTCTCAAAAAAAAAGAAAGAAAGAAAGAAAATGGGCAGACGACATGAAGAGATGTTTTACCAAAGAGGATAAGCAGATGGAAAATAAGCACATGAACGAATGTACAACCTCATTAGCTGCCACAGAAACGCAAATTAGAACCACAGTAATGTATCACTATATATCTATCCAAAGAGCTAAAACTTTAAAATACTGACAACAACCAGATACAGGTGAGGAAGTGGGCAAACTGGATCATTTATACATTGCTGGTGGGAATATAAAATGGTACAACCACTCTGGAAAACAGTTTGGCAGTTTCTTTTAAAAGTAATCATGCACCCACTATATGACCCAGAAATTGCACTCAGGCATTTCTCCCAGAGAAATAAAAATGTGTGTTCACACAAAAACTTGCACATGAATATTCATAGCAGCCGTATTTGCAACAGCCAAAGACTGGAAACAACCCAGATGTCCTTCAATGAGTAAATGGCTAAACGAACTGTGGTACGTCTATCTATACCATAGAATAGCGCTCAGCAACAGAAAGAAATGAACTGTTGACGCATGCAACAACTTGTAAAAATCTCGAGGGAATTACGTTGAGTTTGAAAGTCAATTCCATGGCCGGGTCCAGCGGCTCATGCCTGTAATCCCAGCACTTTGGGAGGCCGAGGCAGGTGGATCACGAGGTCAGGAGTTCAAGACCAGCCTGTCCAAGATGGTGAAACCCCATCTCTACTAAAAACACAAAAATTAGCCAGGCGTGGTGGTGGGTGACTGTAATCCCAGCTATTCAGGAGGCTGAGGCAGAGAATTGTTTGAACCCGGGAGGTGGAGGTTGCAGTGAGCCAACATCGTGCCACTGCACTCCAGCCTGGGCGACAAGAGCAAGGCCAATTTATCACTTTTAGAGAGGCGATGTGATCATTGCTGAACCATCACCCAACATTTCTAGTGGGCGGGAAAGCCCCCTCCTGCCCACTCATGCCTGTCTAACTACCTGTAACAACCCTGGAAACCCAGCATTCTGGGAGGCCGAGGCAGATGGATCGCTTGAGCACAGGAGTTTGAGACCAGGAGGCTCAAACTGGTCTTGAACCAGAAGGCCTTCTGGTCTTGAACCCAGTTTAGTGAGACCCTATCATTATAAAAAATTTAAAAATTAGCCAGGCGTGGTGGTATGCACCTATAGTCCCAGTTACTTGGGAGGCTGAAGTGGGAGGATCACTTGAGCCCAGGTGTTTGAGGCTGCAGAGAGCCATGATCATGCCACTGCACTCCAGCCTGGGTGACAGAGCGAGACTTTGTCTCAAAAAAAAAAAAAAAATATATATATATATATATGTGTGTGTGTGTGTGTGTATACACATATATATGTATATGTACACATACAATTTATATATATATGTATATATAGCATTTTCTAGATTCTGTGATGTTTCTGGTAGCTCTCTGCTTTTGAAATTTGTGACTTTTTAAATTTAAATAAATGGTAATTTTTATGCTTAATTTTATATCCATAATTTTGTAATTGTTCTTACAGAGGGCTCCCCAAAATTGTGTACACCTCAGGCCCCATAAAACTTGGAATCACTTCTCTGGCTCTAGGAAAAAGTACACCAAGTACAACTAAAATACTGATTATACGACTGGTTTGCACGTCTGGAAAAATTATATTGTCAAGCTTTTTACAGTTCAGGAAGACTCAGCAATAAGTTAAAAGAATATGAGGCAAATTTTTTTAATGGAATACTGACTACTTTCAGAAGAAATGAGAGTTGTGCAAGAAAGGGAATGTAATCAGATTATAGTAGTTGACTCAGCAGTAACCATATTGACACAGATACAACTGATACAAATTTTAAAGTAGTATTTAAATATAAATTGTAGACTACATTGGAAGATTTTACCTCGTTTACATGATAGCGACTAAATAATGTCTACAACTCATACGAAGATGAAATATCAGTTTGTGTGTCTTACTTAGAACTGCAGATGTCAGTACTAGAAGAAACAGCTAGAATCACTGAAAGCAGTTTCTCCAGGCAGCAAGAGGAGCTAAAGGGGGCAGGTCAAGTAACCTAGAGCCCTGTAAAACTTCTAGTTTTATAGACTTTATACTTCTAGTTTTATAGACTTTATAAAATTTCTACTTTTCTATAAAAATTCTAGTCCTATAAAACTTTAGAGTGTATTATTACTTCCATAATTTATTTTTTGAGAAAAGATCTCGCTGTCTTACCCAGGCTGCAGTGTAGTGACACAGTCACAGCTCACTGCAGCTTCAATTTCCTGGGCTCAAACTATCCCCTCATCTCAGCCTCCCAAGTAGCTGGGACTGCAGGGATGCACCACCACATCCAGCTGGGGTGTGTGTGTGTGTGTGTGCATGTTGTACAGACTGGGTTTCGCCATATTGCCCAGGCTAGTCTCAAACTCCTGAGCTCAGGCGACCCACCACCTCAGCCTCTCAAAATGCTAAGATTATAGGCATGAGCCATTGCACCCAGCCTATTTTCACGGTTTTTTAAATTTAATCCCAATCGTGTACATTTTGAAGGGGCAATCCTAGAAAATTTTTCAACTGAAAAGTGGGAAGTCTTGACCTATCCCAAGCTTATGAGCAAAAAAATTACTTTGAAACATTCTATGTGAAAACAAAGAAACAAAAGTGGTAACTACTTGCCCCCTACAGAGAATGATTACATAATGCATGGTACATCCCTACTTTGGAATTCTCTACAGCTGCTAAATCCAAGGAGGTAAAACCTGCCAGGTAATGGCATAGATTAGACTGGTGTCCACGAGACACTGTGAAGCGGAACAGGCACTATGTAATGACATAATATTGCATCTACTCATGTACACAGGAAGGGCTCTGGCAGGGGACACAGGAAAGAGTTGACTCTGGGGAGACGGAGGAGGACTGAGAGGACACTCGTGTGCGTGCGTGTGTGTGTGTCATTTAAAACATTTTTTTACTAATAGAATGTATTACTTCTGTACTTTAAAAATTTAAAAATATGGGGCCGGGCCCCGTGGCTCATGCCTATAATCCCAGCACTTTGGAAGGCAGAGGCGGGCGGATCACCCGAGGTCAGGAGTTCAAGATCAGCCTGGCCAACATGGCGAAACGCTGTTTCTACTAAAAATACAAAAATTAGCTGGGTGTGGTGGCGCATGCCTGTAATCCCAGCTACTCGGGAGGCTGAGGCAGAAGAATCGCTTGAACCCGGGAGGTGGAGGTTGCAGTGAGCCAAGACCGCACCATTGCACTCCAGCCTGGGCAACACAGCAAGACTCCAACTTAAATAAATAATATAACCGCTGAATAGTCTTTTTAAGGTCAGTTTCAGAATGTTCTTGGAGCGGGAAGTTTGCCCACTGTGGAGATTGTTGGTGACACCCTGTGTTGAAGATATGTCTAGATCCGCTTGGGGTCAAAAAGACAGAGCCACGGTGGTGAGAAAGTGACTTACCCATCCTCCTCCTCGTCGTGACCATTTTCCTTGAAGGCTGAGAGTGGAGCTGGGGTATGCCCTGCGACCCGGTCTGGGGAGAACCCAACCGCAGAGAAAGATGTTTCCTTTGGGAGCCCTGGTGTGTCCGGAATTGGTGGGTTCTTGGTCTCACTGACTTCAAGAATGAAGCCGCGGACCCTCGCGGTGAGTGTTACAGTTCTTAAAGGCGGCGTGTCTGGAGTTTGTTCCTTCTGATGTTCAGATGTCTTCAGAGTTTCTTCCTTCTGGTAGGTTCATGGTCTCACTGGCTCAGGAGTGAAGCTGCGGAACTTCGTGGTGAGTGTTACAGCTCTTAAGGCAGTGTGGACCCAAAGAGTGAGCAGCAGCAAGATTTATTGCAAAGAGCGAAAGAACAAAGCTTCCACAGTGTGGCAGGGGACCCGAGTGGGTTGCCGCTGCTGGCTGGGGCAGCCTGCTTTTATTCTCTTATCTGGCCTGATTGGTGCGTTTACAATCCCTGAGCTAGGCACAAAGGTTCTCGACTTCCCGACCAGAGTAGCTAGATACAGAGTGTCAATTGGTGCATTCACAAACCCTGAGCTAGACACAGGGTGCTGATTGGTGTGTTTACAAACCTTGAGCTAGATACAGAGTGCCAATTGGTGCATTTACAATCCCTTAGCTAGACATAAAGGTTCTTCAAGTCCCCACCAGACTCAGGAGCCCCGCTGGCTTCACCCCATGGATCCTGCACTGGGGCCGCAGGTGGAGCTGCCTGCCAGTCCCGCGCCCTGCGCCCGCACTCCTCAGCCCTTGGGTGGTCGATGGCACTGAGCGCGCCCTGGAGCAGGGGGCGGCGCTGGTCGGGGAGGCTCGGGCCGCACAGGAGCCCACGGAGCGGGGGTCGGGGAGGCTCAGGCATGGCGGGCTGCGGGTCCCAAGCCCTGCCCCGCGGGAAGGCAGCTAAGGCGTGGCGAGAAATTGAGCACAGCAGCTGCTGGCTCAGGTGCTAAGCCCATCACTGCCCGCGGCCGGTGGGGCAGGCCGGCCACTCCGAGTGCGGGGTCCGCCGAGTCCACGCCCACCCGGAAATCGCGCTGGCCCGCAAGCGCCGCTCCCTCCACACCTCCCTGCAAGCTGAGGGAGCCGGCTCCGGCCTTGGCCAGCCCGGAAAGGGGCTCCCACAGTGCAGCGGCGGGATGAAGGGCTCCTCAAGTGCCGCCAAAGTGGGAGCCCAGGCAGAGGAGGCGCCGAGAGCGAGCGAGGGCTGTGAGGACTGCCAGCACGCTGTCACCTCTCACTGGGAGCCAGGCGGACCCTCCAGCCACAGCCCGGCCGACCCCTTTCCCACCAGTGCCAGCCACTAAGCCTGTCTGCTCCAAGCCCCTTTCCCGTTTCCCTGACCAATGTCCCTCGGGATTAGGGACCAAGGAGCAGCTGTCTAGGATGCGCGCCTTGCGTCTTCCATGCCCTCCCCTCTCCCTCCTCTTTGCATGCTGTTTCTCAGTTCCCAATAACCAGGCCACACAGAGATTCAAGCATTTGTTTCTTCTTTCCTACGCCATTGAAGAGGCTGACGATTATAATAATTACAATGAATTACAGAAGGAGGTGGGATCTCAGTCCTCCAGGGTCAGGGACTCTTAAACTACCTCCTTTCTCTCTTTGCTCAGCTCTTCCCCATACCCCTGTCTCAGTGTTTCTTCCTTTCCTCAAAATCCTCAACAGAGAAGCCAGAGCTGGGCAGGTGTGGGGTATGGGTTAGCCAGAGGTGTGCTGGGGTCAGGCCACCTCGCCGGTGGCATTCCGCCTTTTCTCACACACCCAGCGGTACACCTGCAGGCAGAAGTCATCGTTCCAGCGGCCATCCGGCTGGACTTCAACACAGTCTTCACTTCCACCCAGCTCGTGCCCGTGCCAATTATCTGGCTGAGTGACAGCCCAGTTCCTAAGGAGGCAAGAGAAAACTCGGACTCTGCCACGGTGGTGAGAAAGCGACTTACCCATCCTCCTCCTCTTCATGACCATTTTCCTTGAAGGCCGAGAGTGGAGCTGGGGTGTGCCCTGCTACCCAGTCTGGGGAGAACCCAACCGCAGAGAAAGATGTTTCCTATGCCCAGTCCCAGCAACCCTCACCCCCAGCCCAGAAGAGCACAGCTTTGGAGGGGTTGGAGTCTGGGGAGGAGAGGATTGGGGAATTTGGTCCCTGAGGGACGAGTCAGGGTAGCTTGGAGTGAAAGGCCAGGGGGCTGTCCCCAGAGAAATCTAACAAGGAGATGAGGGAAGAGGCCACTTACTTGTAGTTGTGCCTATAGTCTGTGCCATCCACCCATTTCCAAGAGCCATCACTGTCCGTGAGACCTATCCAGGTATTGAAGGGGTTCGTGTGTTGTACAATGAATTTCTGGAAACACAGGCAAACAGGAAATTTCTAGTCTCTTGTGCCTTTCTCCTCCCTCCATGCAGGCATGGAACTGTGGCCCCTCTCAGCCTTCCCCAGCCTGATCTGCCCTCAGGCTGAAGCACCAGCTCCCGACAAGACTGCTTCCTAGCTTTTTCTTCCGTCACTCTAGCTACTGTTCAGTGCACATTTGCTAGGCTAGACTTCGTGCTGTCTGTGCAAAGATGATCTCATTTAATCCTCAGAAGCTCTCTAAGATGGGCACTGCAGTGACCACATTTTGCAGGGAGTTGCAGAGCCAGAGAGCCAATCCTGTACCTGAGTTAGTGGCCACTGTCCCCTGTTCACAGCCCTGGGCCGGTGTCCCCCTTCATTCCCAGCTTATGGCTCTACCCAAGTTCCGGTTCTCTCCCTGTCTTCTGCCCACAGCCTCGAACTCCTGGGATCCCGACCCTGGTCCCTGCTCTTACTGCCCCCCAGACCCCAGACCCACTGAAGATCTCAGTTTCACTGGCCTCTCAAGTACATTGGCCCCTGGTAGCTCTCGCTTCTATGTGTAGCTGTCATTTCCTGAGATCTGTCAGGCCCGGGAGCTTCTAAGCTTGGACCCACTGCCCAGGGCCCCATTATGATCTAGCTACGTGGAGTCTGACAATCGGGGCAAAATAGGAAGACACCGGGGTGTGAGGAAGCAGCCCGGACAGCCAGTTGCCAGGGGCTTGGGTGAAAGTGGACTTCGAGCCTGCAGATAGCTCCCCGGGACCCACGCGCACCCACACTCCCAGCACGGTAGCCCCTCCAAGTGGCTTTCTCTTACACATACAGCTGTTCCTGGGGACCTAGGTCCCGTGGTTCGGTAGGGTAGGAGGGGAAGGTGTGGTCACCTGGTTTTGTGGAGAAAGTGGAGAGGGATGGATCCGTTGAGCAACGTGCACACTTAACAATTCCCTTTGACAGCCTGGAATTTTCCTTCCAACAGTATTTGAAGGACAATTGCCTAATTCTACTCTCACTCTCTAGAAAAACAACTAAGGTTGCAGTTATTCACCTCTTCCGATTGAGCATCAGAAACTGGGGCATCCCTAAATTCTGGAATCCCACAAATAGGACAAAGTCCCATGCATGAAGGGGCAGCCCTCAGAGGCAGGTGAGGCTGCTCCCCAAATTCAGAGGAGTCAACGGAGTTGGAGAGAAAGTGCCTGGAGACAACACACACTATGTGCTGCTACCTGCTGCCAGCCCTCCCTCCCATCACCACGAGAAACAGAACAACTGAGCAGACTACAAATTAGCAGTATCCAGCCCGCCGTGTTAAAGACTGAGAGGAGGAATCAAATCATGCCAGATGATCAGAGAAGACAGTCCGGGAGAATTCATTCCCCCTTTCCTGGGTGAACCATAGGAAAGAAAGCACTGTGCCCATTCACAAAAGTAATGGAGAAAATCATCATGGAACTTATGCCCCCAAAAAGAAAGAGGAAGATGAGGCAGATGAAAAATGAACTGTGATATCAAAAAGAGAGGTGAAAAATAGACTTTGAAAAGAAGCCTTGTTTCGGAATATGAGGGGATGTTGGAGAACAGTTTCTTTTTTATTATTATTATACTTTAAGTTTTAGGGTACATGTGCACAACGTGCAGGTTTGTTACATATGTATACATGTGCCATGTTGGTGTGCTGCACCCATTAACTCGTCATTTAACATTAGGTATATCTCCTAATGCTCTCCCTCCCCGCTCCCAAGAACAGTTTCTTTACATGCTTCAAAAATTTTAAAAAGAATGACATAAAACATGAAAGAAGATATAAAAAAAAAAGAGAACATGATAAGGAAAGGAAATGAAAAGTTTGAGCTACATACTAAAAAAAAAAGCCCAGGTGTGGTGGCTCACGCCTGTAATCCCAGCACTATGGGAGGCCAAGGCAGGTGAATCACCTGAGATCGGGAATTGGAGACCAGCCTGACCAACACGGAGAAACCTCATCTCCACTAAAAATACAAAATTAGCCAGGCGTGTTGGCGCATGCCTGTAATCCCAGCTACTTGGGAGGCTGAGGCAGGAGAATCGCTTGAACCTGGGAGGCGGAGGTTGTAGTGAGCCAAGATCGTGCCATTGCACTCCAGCCTGGTCAAAAAGAGCAAAACTCTGTCTTAAAAAAAAAAAAAAAAAAAAAAGCCAGGCGTAGTGGCTCATGCCTGTAATCCTAGCACTTTGGGAAGGCCAGGCGGGAGGATCACCTGAGGTCAGGAGTTCAAGACCAGCCTGGCCAACATGGTGAAACCTTGTCTCTACTAAAAATATAAATATTAGCCAGGCATGGTGGCAGGCACCTGTAATCCTAGCTACTCGGGAGACTGAGGCAGGAGAATTGCTTGAACCGGGAGGCAGAGCTTGCAATGAGTCGAGATCGTGTCACTGCACTCCAGCCTGGGCGAAAGAGCAAGTCTCCATTTCAAAAAATAAAAATAAACAAAAAATTTCAGATAAAACACTTGAGGGGCCGGGCGTGGTGGCTCACACCTGTAATCCCAGCACTTCAGGAGGCCAAGGCGGGCGGATCACGAGGTCAGGAGTTCAAGACCAGCCTGACCAACATGGTGAAACCCTGTCTCTACTAAAAAATATAAAAGTTAGCCAGGCACGATGGCGGGTGCCTGTAATCTCAGCTACTCGGGATACTAAGACAGGAGAATTGCTTGAACCTGGGAGGCAGAGGTTGCAGTGAGCCAAGATCGCGCCATTGCACTCCAGCCTGGGCGACAGAGCAAGACTCCATCTCAAAAAAAAAAAAAATTTTTTTTTTTTTTCAGATACAACACTTAAGGAACCTAGGAAAGGAAAGACTCAGACACATGGGAATAAGAGGTATCCTGGTCTCCTCACCTTTCCTATGGAAGTTATACAAACTTTTAGTTTTCAAAGCCAATAATTTTCAGCCTATTATTTAAAGTTATACAAGTAATCACTGGAATAACTCTAAATAAACTACATAGTTTCCAAAATACCATAAAGAAGAAAACAAAAAGAACACCTCTCACATAGCAATTGTAAGAAAATTAAGAAGCATGTAAAGCAGAAAAAAGAAAGGACTAGGGTTAAACATATCTATTAGAATGTAAATGAGACACTCACCTATTAAAAGAAAAGGTACTTATTAGATTTTTAAACATCAAAAACAAAACCTGCCAGGTGCAGTTTTTGGATTACAGTGGCTCAGACACCTGTAATCCCAATATTTTGGGAGGCCCAGGCGGGCGAATCGCTTGAGGCCAGGGGTTCAAGACCAGCCTGGGCAACATGGCACAACACCATTTCTACTAAAAATGCAAAAAACTACCCAGGTATGGTGGTGTGCACCTGTAGTCCCAGCTACTTGGGAGGCTGAGGTGGGAGAATCCGTTGAGCCCGGGAGGCACAGGTTACAGTGAGCTGAGATCATGCCACTGCACTCCAACCTGGGCGATAGAGCCAGATCTTGTATCAAAAACAAAACAAAACAAAAAACCTATATAGGAGAAATACCTTAAGCTTAGCTGCCCTGTGCTGCCCCTCAGGGAATGGTCCAGGATGAAGCCAAGATTAATTTAAATTAGCATTTTTTTTTTTTTTTGAGTCAGAGTCTCGCACTGTCACCCGGGCTGGAGTATAATGGCGCAGTCTCAGCTCACCACAACCTCTGCCTCCCGGGTTCAAGTGATTCTCCTGCCTCAGCCTCCTGAGTAGCTGGGATTACAGGCACCCGCCACCATGCCCGGCTAATTTTTGTATGTTTAGTACAGATAGGGTTTCACCATTTTGGCCAGGCTGGTCTCGAACTCCTGACTTCATGATCCGCCCACCTCGGCCTCCCAAAGTGCTGGGATTACAGGCGTGAGCCACTGCACCCGGCCTAAATCAGCATTTTTAAGGGCGAGATCCAGGAGTCGATATATTTTTTTTAACTCTTGAAGAGATTGCAATGTACAGTCAAGACTGAGAATCATTAATTTAAAACAGAGATTCAAAAAGGTAAGAAACAAAAGGATGGACAGAGATACAGCAAGCAAATGCAAGTGACAAAAAAATCAAGGACCGTGGTATTTATATATCAGATAAATTCAAGGCAAAAAGCATTAACTGGGACACACGTTGGCTTCATAGTGACGAAAGCACCGTCCACCACGAAGTTGTAGTGGTCATGAGCTTATTGTGTGCCAAATCACAGAGCACTGAGATCTTAGGTTGAACTGCATGAAACTGACATTTTTATAGGTCAAAACTGATGAAATGTTGGCAAGTTCAACCTGATCAGTAAAGCAAAATATGTTCGTACTCACAGTATGCTGTAAAGTACTAACAGAGCCTGATGTAATGCAAACAATACATATATTCTGGCCCCTGTATCATATGGCTTAACTACTGTGGCATTAAAATACTTTGAAGTTCAGCCAGACGCGGTGGTTCACGCCTGTAATCCCACCACTTTGGGAGGCGGAGGTGGGCGGATCATGAGGTCAGGAGTTCCAGACCAGCCTGGCTAAGACGGTGAAACCCCGTCTCTACTAAAAATACAAAAAAATTAGCCGGGCATGGTGGCACGTGCCTGTAATCCCAGCACTTTGGGAGGCCGAGGCAGGAGAATGGCGTGAACCCAGAAGGCGGAGCTTGCAGTGAGCCGAGATCGTGCCACTGCACTCCAGCTTGGGCGACAGAGCGAGACTCCATCTCAAAAAAAAAAAAAAAATGGATAAAATAAGCCTGATCCAGCCTCCCAGAGCAGGCCTTCCAAGGGCTTCCTCCTGCCTGTGGGAAGCGTGGCCTCACCTGCTCCTCCCAGGAGTTGATGACCACCAGGTGTGCGTTCTCCAGCTGGCAGTACTTCTCCGCCTCAGCCCAGGCCTTCCCGGAGTGAGAGAACCAGTAGCAGCTGCCTTGGTGCTCCACCCAGTTGACGGGGCAGCAGGTCCTTTGGGAGCCTGAGGGGACAGGGGGCAGGGAGATGAGATCCAGCCGGAGGGGCAGGCACACTGGGCCTGGAGACGGCCCCACCCCTACCGTTGCTGTGGAGGAGCTCCATCTGGCAGGCCACGAAGCGCAGGTCCACGGGGAAGTGCTTCAGATGGAAGAGCAGGGCATCGTGATCTAGGACAGACAGGCTGAAAGTGCTGCCGGCAGGTGTGGTCCCCACCTGCTAGGCTCCAGCCTGTGGCTGGGGAAGCATATACACCCACAGACACGTACACCATGCATAGACCACACCACACACCATACCACACACACACCACAGACATGTACACCACACATAGACCACACCACACACAGATCCATCACACACACACAAACACACCAAGAGACACACCACACACATCACATGCGTACACACACATATACCATACCGCACACACACAGACTCATCTCACACACACCACCACACATGCATACACACACAACACACACATATACACCACACTACACACCACACACAGATCCATGACATATCACACCACACATACGGAGAGAGACACAGATACACATGCTTGCAGGCACACACACGCACGCACGCACACGTGCACACTACACACACCGCACACGTACACACTACACACACCGCACACGTACACATGCACGCACATGCGCACACACCCCGGAGGCTCTCTGACCTGCTTTCAGGTCCTGCTGCTGTTTCTCCAGCTTGGCTCCTAGGGATGTGATCTTGTCACCCACGCTGCCTCCTGGAAGCGGAAAGCCAGCTGTTTCCCCGCTGAGCCTCCCTCCGTCCTCATGCTGCTGGGGGACCGGGGGCCAGCGCCTCGTCCTGGGCGATGCAGGCGTCCACCTCCTGGCTTCCTGGACCACACCCAGGCTCCCTGCACTGCCACAGTGGCTCAGGCCACTCTCCTGCTTCAGTCCCTTCAATGGGTCCCCATTTTCTCAAAATAAAGCCTCGCTCTGTCAGCACGGCTCACCTGCGTGGCCGGGCCCCTCCCCACCTCTCTCTGGCCACCCCTTACCTGCCTGCCCCTCCGATGGGCCTGCCACACTCGATTTGCTCACAGGCCCAAGACATGGTGCCTTCCTCACCTCCGGGTGTCGCAGATCCAACCTCTCCACCTGGCACTAACCTCGTCCGTCCCCACCTGCCTCCCTCCTATACATCCCCCAGGGCCCCTGGACGCCTTGCCCAGCCTGCACCCCCACGGCACCCCACACAGCCCTGTTGCAGACTCGGCACTGAGCCCAGCAAACCTGTGCGGATAAATGAGAACCCAGCCGTCCAGCCCCTCACCGTGGGTGCTGATTGCCTGGACCTCCGTCAGGGTGCTCGAGGAGAAGTTGCTGAAAGCTTCCTTCAGGCTCCGCAGCTCGGCTTGCAGCTGTGCACCTTGTCAGGTGGTAGTGGGGGCAGGATGAGGCAGAGGGGCCGTGTCCCCATCACTGTCCATGTGACTGGCCCCTCAATGTCCCCGCATTTGCCCCAGCTTGTGCTCCACCCCGCCTCCATCCCTTCCCCTCCCATCGCCCCGATCGCTGCCCGCCACTGCCCATGTCTCTTTCCCTACCCCTTGCCCATCCCTGCTGGCCCCCGTGACCCTCACTTTGGGACCCAGTCACACAGATGACCACCAGCAGCAGGATGTTGAAGCTCAGGGCAAGCAGACTGAAGCAGACCATGGAGCAGAGACGCTGTGCCAGGGGCTGGGCAGGAGGTGGCCCTGTGGGAGAGGGGCATCAGGAGCCGGCAGCCTGGGTGTGGGGAGCCGGAGGGTAAAGACAGGGCACCGAAGCCTGAGGAGGCATAACCTGGGCGGGGGGATTGGTTGGGGCCATGGGGGGGGGTCATCATAGGCTTTGACCCCAGCATTTGAGCATTACACACACACTCTTACACACTCGCACCCATATTACCATGTATAAATATACACACGCAGCTAATCTGGTGCACACACACCCATGCACACGACTCAGGATATTCACATCAGCTGTGTGCAAAGCCCGGATCCTGGAGCTGGGGGACTGGGAGACGCACAGGGGGCGGGGGGGCAGACCCGGCCCTGCCTAGGCACACATCCTGAGAAGGGGGATCTGTGAATGGTTTTCCTCCCATCCAGCCAGTGGCAGAGGCCTCCAGATCACCTCGGGCCTTAGTCTCAGCTCTTCTAAGGCTCCTGTCCCCTCAGATTGGAGACTCCAGAAGCTGGGCCCTGTGTTCTTCCTAAAATCCATACTGGAACAGTCCCTCCCCTGCCAAAATTCCATTGAGATCCTTAAATCTGGGTCATTCCACCATAGCCCACTCTCCAAGCACAACCCTCCAGGTCCCACCTGTTGTCCTCATCCCCCACCACGCAAGGCCTCCTCCCCAGCGCCCTTTGCCCTCGCTTCCCTAGAAACCTCGTTCCACACTAAATTTGCTCCCCTCAGCCCGAGGTCATCTCACAGGTACCTCTCCTGCCCCTTGATCCATCTGCACCCTGACAGCACTGACACACACATTCACATGCCCTCACAAACTCACACACACTCACACACTCACACATTGCTCACTTCACTCAAAAACACACATTTGCACACACTCATGACCACGCTCTGCTGTACCCACTCTCACATGTGCATATGCATGCTAATGCACACATTCATACTCCCTCCCACACACACACACCTGACACACCCACACACGTACACTCACACACCCACGTCTTCCTGCACACAGAGCTGGGCTCCCTCTCTGCTGCCTCCAGACCCAGAGCAGCTCCAGTTGTCCCAGCCCTGAGCTCCTCTCTTTGCAGCATCCACCTGCAAACAGAACACCTTCTAGGCCTTGGACCCTGACTCTGTGGACTTCCTTGTCTTCTCATTCCTATCACCCCCCGACCCAGCAGGACCACATCCTGGGGAGGCTCAGTCAGGGGCCCAGAATCTTCCTCCCCAGGTCACTTCCTGCCACTGTCCTGAGTCAGACACTGCCCCTGTAAGTGACTGTCCATAACTCTTCATCTTTTTCACACCAGTGACTTCCACCTTCCCCACTGCAGCCACACTCAGGACCCCATTTGACCCAGGGAGGCCTCTGACACCTCCACTGCCCACTCCCGCTCTGAGCACAGCCCCACCCTCCCTCTCACTGCCCCCACCCCTTCCTCCAAGGCCTTTGCATTCCTCTCCATCCAGAAGCGCTCCATGACCACGGTGTTCCCCACCAAGCTGGCCCTCCATGGCTGAGTCCCTGACTGCTGTCTTCAGCACCCTCCACTCAGAGGGTCCTGTCCTGCTTCCCAGTCCGACTTATCAACTCCCAATGCTGGGTCAGCCCAGCAACGTGTCTGTATATCCACCCTGAAACCAGACTGCCCACAGGGTAGCCCAGCTGTGCCTCCAGGTAGCTCTGAGATCATGCACCAGCATTCAATTTCTCCATGCTTCCATTTTCTCGTGTGTAAAATGGAGATCACAGTCGTAGCTACCCGATTGGATTGCTCGGATAATTAGATGAGTTAAAATATGTAATGTGCTTCTTAGGCAAAAGTTTGAACATAAAAGACAGGGTCTGCCCAAGATGGGAAGAGTTCTTCTCTCCCCAGAAACAATCAAAACAAAAACAGACAACTATAGAACATGGCAGCTTTCAAGACTCTGGACATCAGGCAAGGAGGAGTAAAGATCCCTGAGGGATAAGAAGCAAACAACAGGAACCCTCCGATCACCCCAGCTTACTGTTTGGAGAGAGTCTGCAGGTTACAGGCCAGGAAAGGGAAGTCCAGGCAGAGCCCAAGAGACTCCCCACGTTGAGGAGATGGAGCTGAGAGTCCGAGGAGACCAAAACAATTAAGAGTTCAAACGATCAAACTGACTCTAAGTTGCTTAACTGCATCCCGGAGCAAAGCTCAAGAACATTTAGAGGAATACAAAAATATCCAGCACCCAACAAGGTGAAATTGACAATGTCTGGCAGCCAATCAAAGATTACAAGGCATGCAATGAAACGGGAAAACACAATGCATAACGAGGAGGTTCATAAATATCAAAAGAGATCCAGAACTGACACGGATGCTAGAATTAGCAGGCAAGGATGGTAAAACAGATATTATAGCCATATCCCATTATGTTCAAAAAATTAAGTAGAATTGTGGAGGATATTTAAGAGTCCCCAGGTGAACTTCTAGAGATAAAAACTACAATGTCTGAAATGAAAAAACACACTGGCCAGGCGCCGTGGCTCACGCCTGGAATCCCAGCACTGTGGGAGGCCAAGGCGGGCAGATCATGAGGTCAGGAGATCGACACCATCCTGGCTAACATGGTGAAACCCCATCTCTACTAAAAATACAAAAAATTAGCCAGACGTGGTGGCAGGCGCCTGTAGTCCCAGCTACTCGGGAGGCTGAGGCAGGAGAATGGCATGAACCCGGGAGGCAGAGCTTGCAGTGAGCCAAGATCGCGCCACTGCACTCCGGCCTGGGCAACAGAGCGAGACTCCGCCTCCAAAAAAAAAAAAAAGAAAAGAAAGAAAAGAAAAAACACACTGGATGGAAATAATGGAAGATGAGAAATGCGTAAGAAAAATTTAGGGCCAGGCACTGTGGATCACATCTGTAATCCCAGCACTTTGGGAGGTCGACACGGGGGGAATCACTTGAGCCCAGGAGCTCAAGACTAGTCTGGGCAGCATGGCAAAACCCCTCTACATGGCAAAACCGTCTCTACAAAAAAAAATTTTTAATTAGCCAGGTGTGGTGCCACATGCCTATAGTCCCAGCTACCTGGGAGGCTGAAGTGGAAGGATCGCCTGAGCCCAGGAGGTGGAGGCCACAGTGAGTTGTGACAAGCTACTGCATTCCAGCCTGGGCAACAGAGTGAGATGAGAGAGAGAGAGGGGAGGGGAAGCGAGGGAAGGAAAGGAGGGGAGGGGAGGGGGAGGGGAAGGGGAAAATTTTAGTTAACTTAATGAACAGCAATAACTCTATAAAATGAAACACTGGGAGAAAAAAGAATTAAAAAATGGAAAGAGAATGAGTGAGCTGTGGGACCCTTAATACATGCATAATTGAAATCTTTAAAAGAAAAAGGGGGTAGCAGAAAAAAATCAAGTGCTGAGACAAGTGGAAGATGGGCCCCGGTGAGCAGCTGATCAGTGTCAGCTCCCATGATGACGTTCCCCCAGCCCCCACCACCCGGGCTGCTGGAGGGAAATGCGGTGACTTTGCTACATCCCTTCAGACGGTCCCTCACTGGTGTCCCTCAGCCCATTCGCGTGAGCTCACTCTCCCATTAATTTCAGAAATCCTGGCCTCTCTCCAAGCCTCCTGCTCAAACTCTAAATTCTGTCACCCTCAGAAGATTCAGCAGCATCCCGTATTCTCTCTGAGTGTTCACTATGTACCGGGTGCCGTGTGGGCACTGGAGTTGCAGAGGAGAGTGAGGCGGACAGGGCCTCTGCCTGTGGGGACACCGCCTGGTGGGAAGTCCAGCCAGCCCCCTACAGAGAGAGGAGATGCTACTGGTGTTCCTGAGTGGTCCTCGGGAGGGACCTCCTATCCCTCCTGTCCCCTGCCCTGCCCTGCCCAGCACCGGCCCTCCCTCGGTTGGCCAGCCTCAGGAATGAGGAGTCCCTCATTCCAGCCCAGCTAACCAATCCCCTTCCTAAGCTCCAAGCCCCTGCTCCTCCTGCCTCCATGGAACCCGGCTCCACCACCAGCACCCACACACCTGACACTCCTCCATTCCTGGCTCTTGCCCTTCTGCCTAGCACTGCTCAGATCTCTCTCACCTTAAAATCTTTTCCCACCAGCCTGGGCAACATAGCAAGACCCCATTTCTCTAAAAAATTTTTTTTAATTTGCCAGGCACAGTGGTGCACACCTGTAAGTCCTAACTACTTGGGAGGCTGAGGTGGGAGGATGGCTTGAGCCCAGGAGTTCGAGGTTGCAGTGAGCTATGATCCTGCCACTACACTCCTGTCTCTAAAAAAAAAATGTCCAAGATACTTAGGTCCTTCAGTCAAGATTTATTACAGAAGGATCCAGGGAAGGGTCTTGGGAGATGAGAGGAGCAGGGATCTTCCAGGATCTCTCTGTGCTCACGTCCCCCACCCATCCCAACTCACCCCACCTCTACACACACACACACACACACATACAATCACATACACACACTAACACACACACTCACGCAACACACTCACACACACAACATACATAACACACTCACAACATACACACACAACACACACACTCGCACAACATACACACACGCACAACATACACAACACTCACACAACACACAAACATACATACACTCACACAATACACACACACAACACACACACAACATACACAACGTACACACACACAACATACACACACTCATACACAACATACATACACACAACATACACACAACATACACACACTCACATACACAACATACACTCGCACAACATACACACATGCACAAGATACACACACAACACACAACATACACTCACACACAAGATACACACAACATATACTCACACAACATACACACACAACACACTCTCACACACAACATACCCTCTCACATACACGACATACACACACACAACATATGCACGCTCTCGCGCACATATACACACACACAACATTCACTCACACACACACACAGAGTCCCAGCTGAATCTGCATTCCTCATATGCACATACGTGCACACGCACATACGAGGCACATGTGTTCTTGGGTTGGGAGGAGAAGGGCAGGCAGTTATCTTCCAGATCTCCCCACACCTCTGGCACATGCCTTTCCTGGGGTCCTGGGGTAGACAGGAAGGTGAGGTGAGGGAACAAGCGGGGGTGTCGGGCCCTCCTCAGTCCCTGTTCACAGAGTGGGTGCGGCAGAGACCTCAAAGGGACAGAGCAATCATGAGCTGAGACAGAGGGGGAGCAAAGCCGCAGAAACTGCACACTTGCCTTTCAAAAATGGATTTCCTCTCCTGGGATTCAGCCTGCGAGTGCCTGGCCCCTCACCTTGATGGAAAGGATGGTCATTTTCCTCCGAGCTCAGCTGCTGGATATCTTGAAAGTCCTTGGCCATGATGGGGCCCGGGCTGGAGCTGGAGCTGGAGCTGGGCTGGGCTGGGCTGAGGTTGCTCTGAGGGCTGGGGCTGGGGCAGAGGTGCAGATTCACGTGGAGGTTGATGGTGGGATGGAACGCAGGGTCGGAGGGGTTCGGGGTGGTGGCCTGGGTAGGATCTGAGGTTGGCAGGGCGTTTGGGATGAGGTTTGAAATCCCGCTGGGTCCTTTCCCTTCTCAGGAGACCGCTTGGGCCTTGACCTGGCCAGGAGACCCCTCCCCACGCTCATGGACCCGACCACCCACAGCTTCCCATGGGGTCCTCCCCATCCCTGAACCAAGGCCTCCTTGTTCCCAAGCATCCTCGTCCCAGTTGCCTCCCCAGCCTCAGTTACCTGTGAAAGGTGTGGAGAGCGGACACCTGGCTCCCGCAGGCAACCCTGGCCTTGGCCAAGGAGGGGTTAAAGCCAGGAGAACTGGGGCAGGTGGAGCTCACAGGGGAGAGGAGAGTGGAGGAGGGGCTGGTCCGGGCAAGGCCTGCACTGGAGGGTCTGAGTGTCCAAGCTCTAACCTGGCACCTCCTGGCCTGGGACTTTGGACAGTAAACAGAAGAGGAAACAGAGCTGTAACTCATTTGTGGGGTGGGGGCAGGGGACGGGGCTATCTCTGTTCTTATTCCCAGAGAGGGGGGTCCCCTGGGCTGCGCTCAACTCCACACGCCACTCACCCCACTCATTGCACCATTTGGAAGGGGTGCCAGGCCAGGAGGGGCTGGGGTGCAGTTTGCCGTTTCCCTCTCTCCCTCCCCCTCTCACTTCCTGCCTCCGAATTTACCAGAACTGTGGGTGTCTCCAAATATCCCTGACCAGGATCACAGCGACCAGTTCTCTACTCTTGCCCAATCCGGCATCTGAACCACAGACCCCAGCTTCCTGTGGGCTCGGCCACCAGACTCTCAGCTCTGGCCCAACTCGCTTCACTCTCCTGGAGAGTAAAGCCTCTCAAATCCAGAAGCTTCAGCAGGAGGAGGAAGGGGCTTTGCAGAAAAACAGCTCTCCTCGCAGGAGGAATCCAACCTCAGAGAGCCCCGTCCGGCCCAGACCCTGCCCCAGCCCAGGCAACACAAACACTGTCCTCAGGCCCAGCCACTGCCCTAAATTCTCCAAGGTGTTTCTTCATTTATCACAGCACAACACCCCCACGAGGCAGGACTTCTGTTACTCCCATTTCACAGGGTTCGGAAGCGGAGCCTCGGAGAGATGAGGCAACTTGCTCTAGGTGGTGGCCCAGGTGAGTAGAGAAACTGGCAAAGCAAAATGGAGTAAAGAGGGGAAAATAACATCATAACAAAAGGTCTGGCCGGGCACGGTGGCTCACGCCTGTAATCCCAGCATTTTGGGAAGCCGACGTGGGTGGATCACCTGAGGTCAGGAGTTCGAGACCAGCCTGGCCAACATGGTGAAACTCTGTCTCTACTAAAATACAAAAATTAGCCGGGCGTGGTGGCAGGGGCCTGTAATCCCAGCTACTCAGGACGCTGAGGCAGGAGAATCGATTGAACCTGGGAGGCGGAGGTTGCATTAGCCAAGATTGCGCCATTGCACTCCAGCCTGGGCAACAAGAGAGAAACTCCATCTCAAAGAAAAAAAAAAGAAAGAAAGAAAAAGAAAAGAAAAGGTCTTCATGGTCCTACGAGGAAGACTGGCTTCCATGAAGCAAGGAACGTGGCTGACTGTCTACACTTGCGCTAACAATAGCTCGGGAAAGAAAACACAGTTTTTGTGCATGATTTTCTGACCCTCACCAAACTTGGGCGGATGGCTACGGGCAGGGTTTCTTATAAAGCTGCTCGTTTCCCCGGGTGCCGAAAAGGAATTCAAACAGAGGCCTTTTCTGTTCTTGTAACTTGCTGACCCACATGGGAAGTAGCCACCCCCCCAGTACCCTGACATTCCCACCCAGCCACCAGGCAGCAGCAGCCGCTGGGCTCTCTGACTGCAGCCCACAGCGAGAGACGAATTTCATGCTGTGATCCAGAACATACACACAAGCACCCGCACACACAGGTGCATTTGTATGTGTTACTTTCTCCTGGATCCCCAGTGCCTGCCACACAGTAGCTGCTCAACAAGTATCTACTGAGTGAGTGAGTGAATAGAATAATGCGTTTGGAAATACACGGTTGACACTAAAGTTTGATGGGACAATGCTCACCTTACTACGTGCCTTCTGTTGAGTTTCCCAGTCCATTAATGGGTCACAACTCAAAGTCTGAACAACACTGCTGTGAAGCCCCCATCTTAAGGGGCATGTGGATTTAGTCCTGAGATACAGGTAAGAGCTTCACAGATGGATTGTCTACTGCATGTCAAGCTTTGCCAACTGCCAACCAGGGATGGGGCCATCCTCATTGGCCACCCCTTTGACTGAACCAATTCCACGTTTCAGGGCTTGTCACTTACACCCCCACTCACGGCACTACAGGGAGAGAAGGGACAGAGAAAGCCAGACTCATCTGCGTCCTTCTCTTTCTCCCTATTTGAAAATCATTTTAACTTAGAAGTTAACATGTACTTGGACTATTTCTGAAGTTTCCATATTGTTGGAGGTTTTCTGTTTTGGGTTATGGAATCCTATTTTCTTTGATTGATTTTTTTTTTTTTTTTTTTTGAGACAGAGTTTCACTCTTGTCACCCAGGCTGGAATGCAATGGCGCGATCTCAGCTCACTGCAACCTCCACCTCCCGGGTTCAAGTGATTCTCCTGCCTCAGCCTCCTGAGTAGCTGGGATTACAGGCATGCACCACCACGCCCGGCTAATTATTTGTATTTTCACCATGTTGGCCAGGCTGGTCTTGAACTCCTGACCTCAGGTGATCCGCCCATCTCAAACTCCCAAAGTGCTGGGATTATAGGCGTGAGCCATCGCGCCCGGCCTTATTTGGTTGATTTTGATTTGGGGTTTATTTGTACCTCAGACACAAAGGTTAGATTGGTCATATTCCTTACTTCATGACACTAGGTCTTCCTCAGAGGTCTGAGCTAAACCTTTGTCCTGTTTCGTTCTTCCCTAGCTCCCATCCTGTTTCCCCTCACTAATTCTATACTCTCTACTCTCTATAGGCAGCCAGAAGTCTGAGTGCCCTGACAGTCCCCACAGATGGTGCCCATCAATTTCTCCCCTCACCACATGTGCAAGTCACACCACTCAGCCAGGGGTAGAGTCTGTTTCCCCTCCCCTTGAGTCTGGGCTGGCCCTGTGACTTGCCTTGACCAACAGAAAGCACTAGAAATGACACTCTGCCAGTTCTGGGCCTGGACCTCAAGAAACCTGGTAGCTTCAGTTTTCAATCTTGGAAGTCAGTCACCATGCTATGAGGAAGTCCAACTATCCTGCCAGAGAGAGTCCTGGGGGATAAGACAGCACATGGAGAGAGAAAGAGGCCACACAGAGGTGCACTGAGGCCCCAGACATGTGAGCAAAGTCTTCTGGGAGTTTCCAGGGCAGCCCAGTCACCAGCTGATTGTATCCAAGTGTTTCACTCCAACCAATACCCCGTGGACCGCCCAGCCTAGCCCTGCCCAAATTTCTGACCCAGAGAATCTTAAGAAAAAACAGTTGGTTTAAGCCACTGGAGCTTTGGGGTGGTTTATTATGCATCGGTAGATAGCTGAAACAATATATATTACTAAATATGTAGGTACCCTTATAAAATATGTGATGGGGTTTGCATGTCTATCTGTTCTGTATTTACATACACAGAACTTTCATATATCTCATTTGTTTCTGATCTTTTTCACTCAACAAGAAATTTTTTAGAGCTATTTGTATTGCTATTTGTTACAATGGATTGTTACATTGCTATTTGTTTATCTGGTTTGTTGCTATGAACTGCTGCACAGTATTCAATGGTGTGTATCCATCACAGTTTATTTCCCCTAATAATGAACTCAGGTTGTTGCCAACAACTATCACAATTAACATGACGACTGATGTCCTCATCGTGTTCCCATGTGGACCTAGGTGAGAATTTCTCTTGAAACTGTATCCAGGCCAGGTATGGTGGCTCAGGCCTGTAATCCCAACACCTTGGGAAGCTGGAGTTGGGAGGATCACTTGAGGCCAGGAGTTCAAGGCTGCAGTGAACTATGATCGCACCACAGCATTCCAGCCTGGGCAACAGCAAGACCCTTTCTCAAAAAAAAAAAAAAAAAAAAAAAAGGAATGAAAGAAAAGAAAAGAGAAACGAAGGAAAGGAGGGAGGAAGGAAGGAAGGAAGGAAGGAAGGAAGGAAGGAAGGAAGGAAGGAAGGAAGGAAGGAAGGAAACTATATCCCCGAATGGTATTGCTCATTCGCAGAGTATTGCCATACCTAATTCCACTCAGGACTGCCAGACTGTTTTCCAGAATGGCTCTGCCAGTTCACACTCCCACCAGCAGTATACGAGGGTTCTCTTTTTGGCTTTGTCGCTTGATATTATTAACATCGCAATTGTTGCCAAGCTGATGCCATATCCTTGTTCTTTTATTTTGCATTTCTGGCTAACAGTGGGTTTGAACATTTCTTCATCGATTTATTAATCATTTGGGTTTCCTCCTGCATGAATTGCCTTTTCATATCCTTTACCAGTTTTTCTATTGGCTTTCCTGAATTCACTTTGTTGATAAGCCAGAATTTCCTGTATGTTCTACTTGTTCAGAAAACGAGACCTTTTGAAAGTTAAAAAATATATACATGTTGTTAACTCCAGAAAAATTAATAGAAGCTCTGAAACATAAAATTTAGAAAATCTTCCAGGAAAAAAAAAAGACATAGGTTTTTTTTTTTTAAATGATAAAAGTTAAATTGGGAGAAATTATTTTTTCTCTGGTCTCATGCTACTGAATATATTTCCCACTAGGGAAACTAGACAATCTCCAGACTCCCTTTCTCTCTTTTTTTTCTTTCTTTCTTTTTTTTTTTGAGACAGAGTTTCCTTCTTGTTGCCCAGGCTAGAGTGCGGTGGCCGCGATCTCGGCTCACTGCAACCTCCGCCTCCCGGGTTCAAGTGATTCTTCTGCCTCAGCCGCCTGAGTAGCTGGGATTACAGGCACTCACCACCACACCCAGCTAATTTTTGTATTTTTAGCAGAGATGGGGTTTCACCATGTTGGCCAGGCTCGTCTCGAACTCCTGACCTCAAGTGATCCGCACGCTTCGGCCTCCCAAAGCGCTGGGATTACAGGCATGAGCCACCGCGCCCCGCCCAGACTCCCCTTCTTAACCCACTCTTCCTCAGGGGAGGAAACTGACTGATTGGCATGCTTGGCTCCGCCCCTTGGGGGGGCTCCCTTTGGTGTCTTTCTGCCCACAAGAAGCACACCTTGTATTCTACTCTCTGCCAGGCGGCACAGAGCTGCTCCTGCTTTGCCCTCCTCTGCCTGTGACTGGGTGGATACATCTGCTTAATTATTGGATGAACTAATTACAAGGTTTTTTGATCTAAGGTTTTAAGTCAAATCCTCCTTGTTGCTTATCAGTAATTATGCTAACATTTTGATATCCGCTCATCTGTCTACTGTGTCTTGGCTCTCAATTGATTTCAAACTTAAGAGGAAAAGATAGGGTTCTTTTTTTTATTAGCCCCATAAAACCTCCCCAAATAACACAAACAATATGTTCAAAGAACCAACATCCAATTAATAGAAGTTCTAGAAGATAAATAAGAGGAAGAAAAGGAAGAAAAAGATGAAAGAAAGAATACAAGGCTGGTACTTAGAATTAAAAAGGATAAGTCTCCAGATTTAGGTATTCTAGTAATAGCCCAGCCGAGCACATTCATTCAAAAATGACCCAAAGCGTGTCACCATGAAATTTCAGAATACCAGGGATAAACAGAAAATTCCAAAAACTACCAGGGGTGGGAGTAAATCACCTACAAAGAAACAAGAATCAGAATGGATTTCATTTTTCAGCTGTTATATTGAACACGAAGAGACAACAGGATGATGCCTTCAAACTTCCAAGGAAAATTTTTTTCAACCTAGAATTGTAGACTCAAATGATCCATGGCACGAGAGGGGAGGCTACAGAACTGTCAGATATTCCAGTTCTCAGACTATTTATCTCCTACTCCCATGTGAGGAATTACCCCAGAAAGTGAGGAAATTATCCAAAAACAACACATGTAGAAGAACATCTCAGTATAAGCCTTTTTCATTATTAGGAAAGAAAATCTTATTCAGCTTTTTCTGTATTTTTTGCCTACAGGCTGACTTTTTTTCTTATAATGCAAACTGGTGAAATTCCAGAACCTGGCCTTGGAAATGCAAGTCACCATAAAGAACATGAGTTTAAGGTCTGGGCATGGTGGCTCTCGCCTGTAATCCCAGCACTTTGGGAGGCCAAGGCGGGCAGATCACCTGAGGTGGGGAATTCAAGATCAGCCTGACCAACATGGAGAAATCCTGTCTCTACTAAAAATACAAAATTAGCTGGGTGTGGTGGTGGGTGCCTGTAATCCCAGCTACTCAGGAAGCTGAGCCAGGAGAATCGCTTGAACCCGGGAGGCAGAGGTTGCGGTGAGCCAAGATTGCGCCATTGCACTCCAGCTTGGGCAACAAGAGCGAAACTCGGTCTTTAAAAAAAAAAAAAAGAACATGAGTTTAAGGAAGCAGTAGAGACTCTCCTATGATAAGCCGTCAAAGTGAGAACGTTTACTAACTCCCCATCTTGTTCTCTCATGTACTGTGGAAACCTAGGTGGGCACTTATAATTCCTGCTGACTTTCGGCCGGGCGTGGTGGCTCACGCCTGTAATCCCAACACTTTGGGAGGCAGAGGTGGGCGGATCACGAGGTCAGGAGATCGAGACCATCCTGGCTAACACGGTGAAACCCTGACTCTACTAGAAATACCAAAAATTAGCCAGGCGTGGTAGCGGGTGTCTGTAGTCCCAGCTACTCGGGAGGCTGAGGCAGGAGAATCACTTGAACCCGGGAGGCAGAGATTGCAGTGAGCCGAGATCGCGCCACTACACTCCAGCCTGGCAGAAAAGAGCCAGACTCTGTCTCAAAAAAAAGAAATTGTTAGCGAAACATCAGGAGTTCAGTCTAAGTCCTGCGGCTTTGCTGCACACAGAAAGCCAATCACTGAGATGATGAGTAGTGCCAAGGAAGAAGGCTTTAAATCAGGTGCTGCAGCCAAAGAGATGGCAGCTGTCTCAAATCCATCTCCTGGACTGACTAAAACCAGGGGTTATATAGCAGGGAAGAAATGTAACAATGTGTCAGAAAACAGGAACTAGGGAGGTGCAAGGAGGCATTTGGTGCGTGATCTGGTGAGTTTCAGTTCTTCCATACATTTCTTTTTTTTTTCTGAGACGGAGTCTTACTCTGTCACCCAGGCTGGAGTGCAGTGGCACGATCTCAGCTCACCACAACCTCTGCCTCCTGGGTTCAAGCAATTCTCCTGCCTCAGCCTCCTGAGTAGCTGGGATTACAGGCACCCGCCACCACGCCCGGGTAATTTTGTATTTTTAGTAGAGACAGGGTTTTACCTTGTTGGTCAGGCTGGTCTTGAACTCCTGACCTACTATACGTTTTTGAGAGGACTGAAGGTACTTTCCTGAGGAAGGAACTCAAATCAAACAAATATAAGTTTCGTCCGGGCACAGTGGCCCACACCTGTAATCCCAGCACTTTGGGAGGCCAAGGCCGGTGGATCACGAGGTCAGGAGTTCAAGACTAGCCTAACCAACAGGGTGAAACCCCGTCTCTACTAAAAATACAAAGATTAGCCGAGCGTGGTGGTGGGCGCCTGTAATCCCAGCTACTCGGGAGGCTGAGGCAGGAGAATCACTTGAACCTGGGAGGCAGAGGTTGTGGTGAGCCAAGATCACGCCACCCTACTGCAGACTGGGCAACAGAGCAAGACTCCATCTCAAAAAATAAAAAAATAAACATATATATATATATGAGTTTCAAGCTTTAACGGCAGAAGGGTCAAGTTCTATGTTTATCCAAAACTGTCTGTGGAACTATAGGGCCGGTTTAAAAATCAGAAGAGGGGCACTGGCCCTTTCCTCTTCTCCTATGGGCATGATGGAATAACTGGGATTTGTAAGTCTGCTAGAATAACACTTAGCAAATAATTCGAATTAAGTTAACACTCAAGACACTGACTGTGGCTAAGAACGCCACAAAGGAAGTCCTCCTGAGAAAGAAGAATCTTATTTTAGAGAGTTTTTATTTTAAGAAATAGAAAACTGCCCTAAGGAAAACATTGCAAGATTAGAATAACTGGCATATCTCCAGTAAAAGCAAAAGAAACTATGCAAGAAGAGAAATGTTATGACAATAGAGTACTAGGTTCTGCAGGACATAACATTTACATAGACATGTAATGTGAACGTTTCATTTTCGTTTTTTTACTAAAGATGCTGATGTAACTGCATTTGGAAGACAGCAGTGGCTAAGAGCTAATCCTCATCTTGGGAAATAAGCAGTAGAATATTAATAAATCCCCTCTCCACTTTGTCCAATGGTCACCTGGCATTGGGAGGGATCTAGTTCGAGGAAAGCTGACCAGTAATTGTACTTTCCTGCCTCTGTATTATATTTTTATTTATTTATTTAAGATGGAATCTCGCTCTGTCGCCCAGGCTGGCATGCAGTGGCAGGATCTCAGGTGACTGCAACCTCCTCCTCCCAGGTTCAAGCGATTCTCCTGCCTCAGCCTCCCAAGTAGCTGGGACTACAGGCACCTGCCACCACACCCAGCTAATTTTTGTATTTTTAGTAGAGATGGGGTTTGGCGACGTTGGCCAGGCTGGTCTGGAACTCTTGACCTCAGGTGATCCACCTGCCTCGGCCCCCAAAGTTCTGGGATTACAGGCGTGAGCCACCGCACTCAGCCCCTGTCCCTGTATTCTAAAGGATGTTAGCAAGAACCCTCGGAAGCCCAACCACAGGAGAGGCGTGGACTTAGCAGCAACCATTGTAAACATCGGCTGTGGGAAGCAGAGGAGAGGGGAACCCGGGAGAGCCAGTTTTCGGGGTGAAACAAGCAGGTGGCTGGTGAAGCCACTCATCGGCCAAGGAGCCCGTGGGAGAGCTGGTTGCCAGCAGGGCAAGGAGTCGCGGAGTTTTGTTTGGGACATGGGTTTCTTGTGCTGTTGGTGCATTCGGGTGGAGCTGGCTAGAAGGCAGTTGGACATAGATGGGCCGGAGACTGGGAACCAACAAAGGCAATCAAAGCCAGGGAAGCGGAGAGAAGGGTCTAGAACAGAGCCTGAAAAACACCCACATGGACCTGGAAAGGAGAAGGGGAAGGTGCAGCCAGAGAGGCAAGAGGAAGACAAGGAGGGCGTCATCCAGTCCAGGATGAATACCTGAGCCTGTGTATTTCCCTGTGATGGTTACTACTGAGTGTCAACTTGACTGGATTGAAGGATGCAAAGTATTGTTCCTGGGTGTGTCTGTGAGGGTGTTGCCAAAGGAGATTAACATTTGAGTCAGTGGACAGGGAGAGGCAGCCTGCCCTCAACCTGGGTGAGCACTGTCTAATCAGCTCCCATCTCAGGTAGGATAAATGTAGGCAGAGGAACATGGAAGGACTAGACTGGCTGAGTCTTCCGGCCTCCATCTGTGCCCCGTGCTGGAACATCGGACTCCAAGTTCTTCAGCTTTTGGACTCTTGGACCAGTGGTTTGCCAGGGGCCCTCAGGCCTTCGGCCAAAGACTGAAGGCTGCATTGTCAGCTTCCCTACTTTGGAGATTTGGGGACTTAGACTGGCTTCCTTGCTTCTCAGCTTGCAGACACCCTATTGTGGGACTTCTCTTTATGTTCGTGTGAGTCAATACTCCTTGATAAACTCCCTTTCATATATACATCTATCCTATTAGTATGTCCCTCTAGAGAACCCTGACTAATACATTCTCTCCACACAACTTCCCAATATGTTCCCTATTATTACAGTAGTAATAATTCAATAGAGAAAATATTCATATAACTATTGGAAATTAAGAAAAGATTTCCCTCACATGCCACAAACTCTGAGGCATCTCTGCAAGGTGCAGTGTGGATAAGGGTGAGCGAAGGGCAGAACAGCCCGGGACTCTGTTGTGGAGGGAGGCAGAAGGAGCCCTATGTGTGGAACAAACAGGACCCCCAGGGAATGCCACAAATATCCCTACCCTGTTCAGGTGGCGTGAGCGGGGGACAGGGCTATTTGGGGTGCCAAGTTCAATGGTATTGAGGTCTGCAAGAAGTGCCTCAGATGCCAGGTCCAGAGTGAGCCGAGGCCTCTGCAGTACTGTGGCTCCCCTTAGCAGGGCACACTCTAAAGAAGGCAGAAGTGCTACAAGCTTGGCTGCAAACTACAAGAGCAAAATGTCATAGAGGACAAGTCGCTGCCCCAGCTCCCTCTTATATTGCCACATAAATCCAGAGAACAGGCCGGGCGCAGTGGCTCATCCCTGTAATCCCAACACTTTGGGAGGCCGAGGTGGGCGGATCACCTGAGGTCAGGAGTTTGAGACCAGCCTGGCCAACATGGTGAACCCATCTCTACTGAAAAAAAAAAAAAATTAGCCAGGCGTAGTGGCAGGTGCCTGTAATCCCAGCTGCTCGAGACACTGAGGCAGAGGAATTGCTTGAACCCGGGAGGTAGAGTTTGCAGTGAGCCAAGATGGTGCCACTGCACTCCAGCCTGGTGACAGAGCAAGACTCTATCTCAAAAAACATCTCATTCGAGCTTAGGAGGTCAAGGCGCAGTGAGCCGTGATTGCACCACTGCACTCCAGCCTGGGTGACAAAGCAAGACCCTGTCTCTAAAAGATATAAATAAATACATAGACAGATACATAGATACATAAATACAAAGAAAACATTTCTCCAAGCTGTATGAAGCCTTTGTTTCCTATTCCAATGCCTTCATCTAGAAACTGGCCTCTAGTTTCTGAAACAAACACAACACCATTCATTAGCTCATGCTCATCAGAAAGTATCAGGGGCCTTCACTGCTCCAAGCATCAGCAGCAACTCATAACACTCACACTTCCGAGACCATCCTGGCTAACACAGCAAAACCCCGTCTCTACTAAAAATACAAAATAAAATTAGCCGGGCGTGGTGGCGGGCGGATCACAAGGTCAGGAGATCGAGACCATCCTGGCTAACATGGTGAAACCCCGTCTCTACTAAAAATATGAAAACAAAAAATTAGCCGGGCGTGGTGGTGGGTGCCTGTAGTCCCAGCTACTTGGGAGGCTGAGGCAGGAGAATGGCGTGAACCCAGGAGGCGGAGCTTGCAGTGAGCCGAGATTGTGCCACCGCACTCCAGCCTGGGCGACAGAGCAAGACTCCAGCTCAAAAAAAAAAAAATTCACACTTCATATTCTCTTAGTTCCCCCAAATAAAGCCAGGGCGTTTTTTCCCCTCTGATAATAAGCATCCCGTAATTGTGTTTCCTTTTTCATTTTAGCTTCCAGGAATCTCAGAGTGAAACCAGACACTACACGTTAACAACTTTGTCCGTGGCACACGCCTGTAATCCCAGCACTTTGGGAGGCTGAGGTGGGTGGATCACTTGAGGTCAGGAGTTCGAGACCAGCCTGGCCAAAATGGTGAAACCCCTTCTCTACTAAAAATACAAAAATTAGCTGGGCATGGTGGTGCACGCCTGTAGTCTCAGCTACTTGGGAGGCTGAGGCAGGAGGATTGCTTGAACCCAGGAGGCGGAGGTTGTAGTGAGCTGAGATTGTGCCACTGCACTCCAGCCTGGGTGACAGCCAGACTCCATCTAAAAAAAAAAGAAAAAAAAGAAATAGGTAAAGGGAATGTTGTGTCCTAACTGGAGTTCTCTGAGGGCCAAGGACCTCAGAATTACCTTGCTCAAACAAAGCCTGAAAGAGCCAACCCTAGCTAAGGTGAAGGGTGTTCCTGCTCAGCAACCCACAGTCTCTGGGAAGACTGGAAGAGATCTTCAAGAGTTCCTGTAACCTTGCAGTGTGAAAGCAAAGCGTGAGTGATCCAAGGGAAAGTCCTGTGCGACCCCAGAAGTGTAGGCAGCAAGCCACCCAGGCGCTGAGGCAAGAGACCGAGGACACGAGCTGTTCCAGTATAATAAAATATAAAACAAGAATAGTTATACCAGATATAGATCTTAGATATGATTATATATGAATATCAATAATCATTAGTTTGTAGCAATTACTCTTTATTCCAATATTATAATAATCCTTGCTCTATAATCATAACCTAGGAAAAACCAGGCCATACAGAGATAGGAGCTGAGGGGACACAGTGAGAAGTGACCAGAAGATAAGAGTGCAAGCCTTCTGTTATGCCCAGACAGGGCCACCAGAGGGTTCCTTGGTCTAGCGGTGATGCCAGCGTCTGGGAAGACACCCGTTGCCAGGCGGACCGTGGTCTAGCGGTAGCAAAAAGTGTCAAGGAACAACACCCGCTACTTAGCAGACCGGGAAAGGGAGGCTCCCTTTCCCCGGGGGAGTTTAGAGAAGACTCTGCTCCTCCATCTCTTGTGGAGGGCCTGACATTAGTCAGGCCCGCCCGCAGTTATCCGGAGGCCTAACCAGAGTCTCCCTGTGATGCTGTGCTTCAGTGGTCACGCTCCTAGTCCGCCTTCATGTTCCATCCTGTACACCTGGCTCTGCCTTCTAGATAGCAGTAGTCAATTAGTGAAAGTACTAAAAGTCTCTGACGTGCAGAAATAATGGCATAAGCTGTCTTTCTCTCTGTCTCCTCTCCCTCTCTGCCTCGGCTGCCAGGCAGGGAAGGGCCCCCTGTCCAGTGGACACGTGACCCACGTGACCTTACCTATCATTGGAGATGACTCATACTCTTTACCCTGCCCCTTTTGCTTCGTATCCAATAAATAACAGCGCAGCCAGACATTCGGGGCCACTACCAGTCTCCACGCATTGGTGGTAGTGGTCCCCCGGGCCCAGCTGTCTTTTCTTTTATCTCTTTGTCTTGTGTCTTTATTTCTACACTCTCTTGTCACCGCACACGGGGAGAGACCCACAGACCCTGTGGGGCTGGTCCCTACAAGAAGGAAAAAGGTTGAGCCAAAGGAACCCACCCAGGAGGTGGACAGGTGGAGACCACTGTAGGAGCTGAAAAGAATGCATTTCCCCCATAAGGTCATCCACACAAGTCAATCATAAATGCCTGGTAGAGTTGGATCCTGCTCACACTGAATAAATGGTAAAGAATTCTGTGTTGTTGGTGGGACTGTAAACTAGTTCAACCATTGTGGAAGTCAGTGTGGCGATTCCTCAGGGATCTAGAACTAGAAATACCATTTGACCCAGCCATCCCATTACTGGGTATATACCCAAAGGACTATAAATCATGCTGCTATAAAGACACATGCACACGTATGTTTATAGCGGCATTATTCACAATAGCAAAGACTTGGAACCAGCCTAAATGTCCAACAATGATAGACTGGATTAAGAAAATGTGGCACATATACACCATGGAATACTATGCAGCCATAAAAAATGATGAGTTCATGTCCTTTGTAGGGACATGGATGAAACTGGAAACCATCATTCTCAGCAAACTATCGCAAGTACAAAAAACCAAACACGGCATGTTCTCACTCATAGGTGGGAATTGAACAATGAGAACACATGGACACAGGAAGGGGAACATCACACTCCGGGGACTGTTGTGGGGTGGGGGGAGGGGGGAGGGATAGCATTAGGAGATATACCTAATGCTAAATGACGAGTTAAGGGGTGCAGCACACCAACATGGCACATGTATACACATGTAACAAACCTGCATGTTGTGCACATGTACCCTAAAACTTAAAGTATAATAATAATAAAATGTTAAAAAAAAAAAGAATTCTGTGTTCACCCCAGCAGGAAAGTGAAGGAACTTAGTTGCAACCATAGTGGTGGTTCAGTATTCCAACTATTCAGGTCAACCAAAAAAAAATATATGGAATATGGAAAAATATAGAACCCAAGAAATATGGGCTGTGAGTTCAATCCCATCTGGAGAGCATGGATTTAGCAACTAGAACGGGATAGAGAGCTTCTCCCTGTGGCTCCAGGAAAATTATACTAGTGACGAGCAGCCCAGACCGCATACATTCAGTGTCAGAACTCTGTCCAGCAAGCAGCCCCAGGCAACGCCTGGCAACCCCAGGGGATACAGAATGCGAATGCTTTTCCCTCAAGAAAGTGTATTCCAGACCTAGGAAGGTTTGAAACTAAATATATAGGCAACAAAGTAAATCCAACATGTAGTATTAATACATTTGTGCCAAATTTAAGATAATCTATATTTGGTATTATAATGTGTAAGAAAATTCAGCATACTAAAAGATTTGAAATTAGCCTGTGATAGCAAATTAAAATACAAAATGAAGTACTTGATTTTAGACTCGTGCTTTCTTTTTCAGTTGAAATGTATGAAATAATTTGATTAGGTTTGTAAACAATGTTGGAATGTTGAAGAGTCCTTGAGATTCCTTATGAATATTAATTTGCCTTATTTACTTAGTTTTTGATTGTTAAAATCAAATCCTTAAAATACACCAAATGTGTAAACTCAGTTTAAAAATGTTTCTAGGCATTTAACTGCATTGTGAATGAAGCTGATTATTTAAGAGAGTTTCGTGTCTTTGACTTTCATTATTATGCAATAATCAGTGAGAAGGTAAAGTCGGTGGCTCTTATTTAGCACAATTTATTAAAAGAATAATTACGGCCAGGCACGGTGCCTCACACCTGTAATCCCAGCACTTTGGGAGGCCGAGATGGGTGGATCCCCTGAGGTCAGGAGTTCGAGACCAGCCTGGACAACATGGTGAAACCCAGTCTCTAATAAAAATACAAAAAGTTAGCCTGGCGTGGTGGCACTTGCCTGTAGTCCCAGCTACTCTGAAGGCTGAGGCAGGAGAATCGCTTGAACCCAGGAGGCGGAGGTTGCAGTGAGCTGAGGTTATGCCATTGCACTCCAGCCTGGGTGACAGAGTGAGACTCTGTCTCGAAAAAAAAAAGAATAACTACTTTTATAAGCTGAACTTACAAGAAGTTTAAGGAAAAATTAGATTTAAAATGTACTTTAACAAACTGACAATTTCTTTAAGGAAACAAAATGATAAACAGTTCATTCAGTACACAAATACCAGCATGAACATGAAAAGCTCTCCTTGACTTTAGGGTCCACATGCCAAATGGCAGGGTCCAAGGCAGGCCACCGGAGACAGCGCCCCACCCATGCCAAGACCACCTGCAGCAGCGCCACCCCGGACCCCCCTTTCACCAGGCAAGTGGACAGGGCAAACATGGACAGGCCCCCGGCACCAGTCTGAGAGGCCCAGAGGCTAAGAGGGTGGGCTTCATGCCCCGGCTACCCGTGTCCCCACATCAGGAGACTGTGCACCCCCACCACACCCCTCTCCTCTTTCCTCCTTGCTCTGTTTTTCTCCACAGCACTCATCGCCATTTGATAATGAATGTTATGTATTTCGGTTATTATCTTTCTGCACATACAGCCAGGCATGGAGACTTAGGCTCACTCAGTCCTAAATCCCCAGCACCTAGAAAGGTACCTGTGCTTGGTCTGTCCCCATAAATCTGTGTTGCATGAAGGCACTGATGGCCTCAGCTCCTGCTTTGTGCCCCTCTCCCTGTCTGGACTGCCAGCTCCCTGACCTCAGGAACTACCTTACTCACCACTCAATGTCCAAGCCCAGCACCAACCCAGAAAAAAAAAAGAGTCAGACGCATGTAAAAGTGACTCCCTGTGGGAAGCCAGGCAGGGCCTTCAGAATCAAACGTGATCTTGAATTCTGGTTCTGCCACTTACCAGCCATAAGGGAACCTTGGATAAGTGACTCAAGGTTTCTGATATTCAGTTTCTTCAGCTGGAAATGGGTATAATAATACCTGCCTCACTCGGTTCTTGTTGGTATTAAACAGGTTAATGTAAGGCAAAGTGTCTAACACTGAGCCTTTTTTTTTTTTTTTTTTTTTTTTGTATAAGCAAAGCCCTCACATTGTAGGTGCTCAGTGAAAATCAATTCCTTAACTCTCATGGTAGGTACTCAAAGAAAATCAATTACTGGCTGGGCACTGTGGCTCACGCCTGTAATCCCAACACTTTGAGATGCCAAGGTGGGTGGATCACGAGGTCAGGAGATCAAGACCATCCTGGCCAATGTGGTGAAACCCCGTCTCTACTAAAAATACAAAAATTAGCTGGGTGTGGTGATGCGCGCTTGTAATCCTAGCTACTCGGGAGGCTGAGGCAGGAGAGTCGCTTGAACCCGGGAGGCGGAGGTTGCAGTGAGCCGAGATTGTGCCACTGCACTCCAGCCTGGCAACAGAGCAAGACTCCATCTCAAAAAAAAAAAAAAGAAAAAAGAAAAGAAAATCAATTCCTTTACTCATTTTAACTTCCTCCAGTTGCTGCAGAAAAAGCTCTGCTTCCCTCCCCCTGAGCTTCAGGTGCTTGACTTATATTTACTCCCCTGGGGAATGACAGGAGTCAATATGGGCGGGCTGGAGAACCTGGCACCTGAGCCCCAGAGGAAGGCCCCAGCTTCCTGCAGCTCGGGCTGGCGGATGGGAGCAGAAGCATCAGTTCCTGGTTGGGAATTTGGAGACACCAACAATTTGGGGAACTTCAAAAGCAGGAAGCAAAAAAGATGTGAGAGAAAGGGGAAACACCAACCCTCCTAGACAGCCCCCCTCCCCACCCCCAATCACAAAAATGCGGAGCCCAGGAGAGCCAACTCCTGGGAAGGGACGAATTCCCAGTTCCTACCCCGGCCCATCTCCAGCCTGGTCCAGAACTCAGTCCTGAACCCAGCTCCCGGCTCCCACACCTCCATCAGCCCCAACCCCACTAGCAGCCTGTCCCAGGCCCAATTCTAACAAAGACAAGGGGTGGGACCCTGGAGAAAGTGGGGTTCCCCAAATCACGAGAGAATTCCCTGGCCTCTCTGCCATCTGTTTCCACTTCCCCTGGTCTCTGTCTTCCTGTGTTTATCTGCCTCATTCCGTACTTCGGCTGTTCCCTCCTCCACAGGCTCTCTCTCTGCCTGTCTCTGGCTCATTCACTCACATATTACACAGCAGGTATGTGCTGGGGAAGAGGGAGCAGGCCAGTGAGTGAAAGCAGAGGAGGCAGAGGATGGGGCCAGAGAGGGAGGCAGGGGCTGGATCACGGGGACCTCCAGGGCATGGAAGGCCGGAAGAGTTTTCTTCTCTGTGAAATAGGGAATTATTGATGAGTTAAACAAGGCGACACATAGCCTGATTACATTTTTTAAAGTCACCTTCAGGCTGCTGTATGAGGATGAACCTTTAGGGGTGAGAGTTGGCAGGGGATGTTGTTGCCAAAGTCCCAAAAGAGAGATGACGATGGTGTTTGGGACTGGAGGTGGCTGTGACAACAGTGAGAAGATGTCAGATTAAAAGCAGATCATGTCAGGGTGCGGTGGCTCACGCCTGTAACCCCAGCACTTTGGGAGGCTGAGGTGGGTGGATCCTCTGAGGTCAGGAGTTCAAGACCAGCCTGGCCAACATGGAGAAACCCCATCTCTACTAAAAATACAAAAAAAAAAAAAAATTAGCTGGGCATGGTGGCAGGCGCCTGTAATCACAGCTACACAGGAGGCTGAGGCAGGAGAATCGCTTGAACCCGGGAGGCGGAGGTTGCAGTGAGCCAAGATTGTACCACTGCACTCCAGCCTGGGCGCCAAGAGCGAAGTCTCCGTCTCAAAAAACAAAAGGGTAGATAGTGAATCTTGGAGGAAGAACCATCAACTCAGCACTGGCTGGGGAGGGCCTGTGGGCGAGGAAAGGAAGGCTTCCTGAAGAAGCTTTGTATGCTGCTGAGAAAGTGACAGCAGGGTTAACTGAGCGGGAAGAGGGGGCAGGAATGGGTTAAACGCGCAATGTAGAAAGAGGAACTGAAAGGGCCGGGCGCGGTGGGTCATGCCTGTAATCCCGGCACTTTGGGAGGCCCAGGGAGGCAGATCACTTGAGGTCAGGAGTTCGAGACCAGCCTGGCCAACATGGTGAAACTCCATCTCTACTAAAAATATAAAATTAGCCGGGCGTGGTGGCACGTGCCCGTAATCCCAGTTACTCGGGAGGCTGAGGCAGGAGAATCCCTTGAACCCAGGAGGCGGAGGTTGCAGTGAGCTGAGATCACGTTATTGCACTCTAGCCTGGGCAACAAGAGCAAAACTCCATCTCAAAAAAAAAAAAAAAAAAGAAAGAAAGAAAGAAAGAAAAGAAAAGAAAAAGAGGAACTAAAAAGAGCTCAATTTGGGATAGACGGTGTTTGTGTTTGAGGTCCCTGTTAGACCCTAAGGTGAGATGCCAGGGCAGAAGCTGAATAAACAATCCAGGCAGGAACACACACTCACACACATTGACCCCAATCCCATGAGCCCCATTGTCCTGAAGACACATCCCTGCTCCTGCCCAGCTGGTCCCTGACCCCTGACCCCTGGCTATGCTGGCCTCAGATCTGTGTCTCCTTCTCAAGTCATTGGCCCCCAGGGCCACTGTCCCTCCGTCTCCACTGGGTGCACTGGAAAGGCAGGGTGAGGTACAAGAAGCCCCATTTAAAACCATGAAATCAGCAGCTCAAACACCAGAAAGTCCCCAGCTTTTGCAACAGCTCATAAGGACTGGTGTTTCCTGCGAGCAGTGACACCCTGCAGGTTTCTAAACTCTGCTTCTCTTTGTTTTGTAAAGCAGTGTTCTATCAGTCCCGGAAAGCCCCTGGAGTGGATCACGCCTCCCTAATCTACCGTGTTCTGCATTTATCTGCATCTGCAATGTTTGTTGTGGTCTTGTTGCTAGAGGCCTCGTTCCCCCTGCCTGGTTTATAAAATCCATGTAACCCAGGATTTTTTGTGGTGTGGATACTCTACATTGAAAGGACATGCATGCTTTCTATTTTATTTATTTATTTATTTATTATTTTTATTTTTATTTTTATTTTTGGAGACGGAGTCTGGCTCTGTTGCCAGGCTGGAGTGCAGTGGCGCGATCTCGGCTCACTGCAACCTCCACCTCCCAGGTTCAAGCGATTCTCCTGTCTCAGCCTCCCGAGTCGCTGGGACTACAGGCGCTCGCCGCCACGCCTGGCTAATTTTTTTTTTTTTTTTTTTTTTTTTTTTGTATTTTAGTAGAGACGATGTTTCACCGTGTTGCCCAGGCTGGTCTCCAACTCCTGAGCTCAGGCAATCCGCCCGCCTTGGCCTCCCAAAGTGCTAGGATTACAGGCGTGAGCCACCGTGCGCGGCCGACATGCATGCTTTTGAAATACCACAAGGGCACTGGGGACTGGAAACAGGAACGGAAACAGGAAAGGTTCCCTTGTCCCCGTCGCAGGGCGTGTGACAGCGGGAATAGCTCGTTTTTTCAGAATCCCACTGCTCAAACCTCTAGGGGGAGCCTGCTGACGGGCAGCTTGTGGGGCTCCAACCCCACGGCAGCATCTGGGGGTGAATGCTTACAGCTCCTGAAGCCCCAGTGGGCGTGTGTGACGGGGGCTCTTTCAGTTTTGCCGTCTGTAGGCGGCTTGTGTTCATCAGCTCTATTAGACCTTCTGCCTCATCACAAGCACAGAGGGCTTTCTGTGTCCTGGGGTTCCTGCCTTGGTGTACTGGAAGAATGGGATCACATGTGGGCTTGGAGAATGAGTGTAAGGTTTTTTATGGAGTGGTAGTTCTCAGCGAGGTGGATGGGGTGGCCAGAAGGGGGATGGAGTGGGAAGGCGGTTTCCCCCGGCCCGGAGTCGGGCCACCCAGTGCCCGGGCCTCCTCCAACCACCTCGGCCATACTCCGCAAATCGTTCTGCTGGTCAGTGACCTGCCGGCATCCACCTGTCAGTGTACTCCTATGCCCGTGCGTTCCCCTCGACGTCCAGCCACTTCTGTGTCTGCCCGCTAGGGTCTCAGGGCTTTTATAGGCACAGGATACGGGTGTGGCAGGCCAGGATGGTCTTGGGAAATGCAACATTTGGGCATGAAAACAGAAATGCCTGTCCTTGCCGAGGTCCGTGGGCACAGGCCCGGGGGTGAAGCCCTAGCCAGAGACCCGCCCTTCTCTCCCCAGCACTTCCCTGCCCGACTCCTGTATCAGAACCAAATGGTTTTCTGTCTTCTCGACAAGATCACAAGGTTCTTTGAAGCCAAGCACAACCAGAGGGTCCTGGGGGGTGGGGGTGGGGGGGCACCATATGCCCATAGCGTGGCAGCTCTTCCCTGTGCCAGAAGCACAGAAATGAAGGGACCCTGCCTTCAGGAACAGCACAGTTAGGAGGAAAATAAGGCTGGGCACGGTGGCTCATGCTTGTAATCCCAGCACCTTGGGAGGCTGAGGCGGGCAGATGGCGAGGTCAGGAGATCGAGACCAGCGTGGCCAACATGGTGAAACCCCGTCTCTACTAAAAATACAAAAAAGTTAATCGGGCATGGTGGCGCACACCTGTAGTCCCAGCTACTCTGGAGACTGAGGCAGGAGAATGGCTTGAACCCGGGAGGCTGAGTTAGCGGTGAGCCGAGATGACACCATTGCACTCCAGCCTGGGCAACAAGAGCGAAACTCCATCTCAAAACATAAATAAATAAATAAGAGGAAAATATACAGGTTCACAAGCATGGAGTGAGTGGGACCCCAGAAATAAGGTGTCCAGGGAGGGTTTTCTGGAGAAATGGTGCCTCAGCCACCCCTGGAAGAGCCTCAGTCCAGAACCTCACCCTCCAGAGTTTCCACCTACACACCTGCCTGTCAAAAGACAGCAAACTCCAGGAGAGCCACTTGCCACAAGTATATAGGATCTAATATGTTTGTTTGTTTTCATATAAAATTAATTTCAAATTAAATATTCCTGGATGATGAGGAGTTACCGAATGGGTACAAGGTACATTTGTTTGGGTGATGGAGATTCTAAAAGCCCTGAGTTCACCACTCCACAATCTATGCATGTCACAAAATTACACTTGTTTCCCATAAATTTATAAAAATAAATAAAGCTGGGCCGGGTGCCGTGGCTCACGCCTGTAATCCCAGCACTTTGGGAGGTTGAGGTGGGTGGATCGCCTGAGGTCAAGAGTTCGAGATCAGCCTGGCCAACATGGCGAAACCCCATCTCCACTAAAAATACAAAAAAAAAAAATTAGCCGGGCACGGTGGCGGGCGCCTGTAATTCCAGCTACTCAGAAGGCTGAGGCAGGAGAATCGCTTGAACCCGGGAGGTGGAGGTTGCAGTGAGCCGAGATTGCGCCATTGCGCTCCAGCCAGGGCAACAAGAGCGAGACGCGGATCTTTTGAGCCCAGGAGTTCAAGGCTGCAGTGAGCCATGATTGAGGCACTGCATTCCAGCCTGGGCGACAGAGCCAGGCTCATCTCAAAAACTAAAAATAAAGAAATTCTGACACATGCTACACCATGGATAAACCTTGAAGACATTATGCTGAGTGAAATAACCCAGTCACACAGGGACAAATATTGCATAATCCCACTACCTAAGGTAGTCAGATTCATAGAGACAAAAAGTAGAATGGTGTGGTCGCCAGGGGGAGGGGTTGGTGGGCGGGGAATGGGGAGTTGCTGTTCCATGGATTTAGAGTCTCAGTTTCACAAGATGAAAAGAGTTCTGGCCGGGCGCGGTGGCTCACGCCGGTAATCCCAGCACTTTGGGAGGCCGAGGAGGGCGGATCACGAGATCAAGAAATCCAGACCATCCTTCCTGGCCAACATGGTGAAACCACGTCTCTACTAAAAATACAAAAATTAGCTGGGCGTGGTGGCGGGCGCCTGTAGTCCCAGCTACTCAGGAGGCTGAGGCAGGAGAATCGCTTGAACCCAGGAAGCGGAGGTTGCAGTGAGCCGAGATCACACCACTGCACTCCAGCCTGGCGACAAAGCGAGATTCTCTCTCCAAAAAAAAAAAAAAAAAGATGAAAAGAGTTCCATGGATGGTTGCACAGCAATGAATGTGCCGCGTGCAACAGAAACGCATACTTAAAAACGGTTAAATTTTATGTGGTGTGTATTTTACCACAATTTTTTATGTAAAAGGCAAAGTTTTAAAAATTACTGCAATCAGTATTAAACCTCATTTCATATTTCTAGTTTACTCTTTCGCCCTTAGGAAGTTGGGTTTTTTTCTTTTTTCTCTTATGTTCCCAACATCAGGATAGCAGCGCCACCGTGTGGTCACAGCTGCAGGTGCCAGTCTGAAAGAAGAGAGACTCCCCTGCACCCCAACTATTTTTTAATACAGGTTGAGCGACCCTAATCCCAAAATCCAAAATCCGAAAGGCACCAAAATCCAAAATTTTCTGAGCCACAAGTGGAAAATGTCACACCTGACCTCATGTGACAGGTTTCAGTCAAAATGCCATCGAAACTGTTTCATGCACAAAATCATTTAAGATAATATATAAAATTACCTTCATAGCCTGGACAACATAGCAAGACCCTGTCTCTACAAAAAATTTAAAAATTAGCCAGGACTGGTGTTGCACGCCTGTACTCCCAACGACTCGGGAGGCTGAGGCAGGAAGATCACTTGAGGTCAATCAATCTGCATTATACTTCTAAGTAGCTGAAGTGAAACATTAAACAGTAAAGAGATCATTCTTACATAGCTAAGAGTATTCAATTATTCAGCTCCTGAGAACTATTTGGCTACACTTACTTATTATCTTTCTTTTGCCAACTGGTAAGACATCCTAGCCTGAATCACAAAAACACTTTCTGGTTCACATCTTAGAGTCGAAAAAGGCTTGCGAAGCCCCTAAAGGTGTTGAGGCAGCTTGGCCTGAGACCGTGATAGCTTCTGTTTCATCCCCAGATCTATTACATGGAGTTCAGAAACCAGGACGATTGCATTTATAAGCCCCAAATTTAAAAGATTATTTGAAAAAGAGCTTCTTGAGTTTTACTCTTGATACACTAAATGCAATCCACAGCCTCTCTGCCCTAACAGACTTTCGTGTTCCTTCCCTCTTTTATAGTAAAATTAGGAAGTGGGGAGACGGGACAAGTAAGTAAGGGAATCTGCACAGGCTGAGCAACCCCACCCTCAGCCTTGCTGAGTTCTCTCCACCCAGAGGACACTGTACTCCTGCTCTGGGAAGACAGCGCCTCCCGCCAGGGGATTCCGCCAACCACCGCTCCCTGCAATCGGGGTTACCAGTGATGATTCTTCCCCCAGCATCACCCTACGGTGTCTTGGCAGCCTGCCTCCTTCACAGACTGCCTCGAGAGTCCCTCAGAGCTATTTCCTTAAAGACCAAATGCGAGCATATCTTCACTGACGGGGTTTCAGAGCCTCACTTTGCAAGTTTTGAGGCAGAGGCTCAAACTAATTTTGCTGAGAAGGACAGGAGAGCTGAGAGAAAATCAAACAGAACGGCGGCTCTCCTCCCATTCATGGCATGTAATGCTCTGGGCCCAGCTACATCTGCCATGGCCTCCAGGGACCTGCTGGAGGGGTCTCCCAGCCCCACCTGGTATAAGCCAAGCCTGCTCCAGACTCAGGATCTGCCCAGAGGGCTGGGATCTCACAGCCTGAGGTAAGCATGAGTCAGTCTGAATGTAATCTACCCTCCCTACACCCCTTCCCAGCCCCAGCCTCTCTGAGGGGTCTCATAGCCACCCAGCCTGCCTGTGACCTTTGCTGGCTATAGCTTTTCTTCCCATTAACTTTTTTTGTTTTGTTTTTGAGATGGAGTTTCACTCTGTCGCCCAGGCTGGAGTGCAATGGCGCGATGTTGGCTCACTGTAATCTCTGCTTTCCAAGTGCAAGCAGTTCTTCCCCCTCAGCCTTCCAAGTAGCTGGGACCACAGGCACCCACCACCATGCCCGGCTAATTTTGGTGTTTTTAGTAGAGACAGAGTTTCACCACGTTGGCCAGGCTGGTCTCGAACTCCTGACCTCAGGTGATGCGCCCGCTTCGACCTCCCAAAGTGCTGGGATTACAGGCGTGAGCCACCATGCCCGGCCCCCATTAACTTTTAATAATAAAACATGGTGGCCAGGCGCGGTGGCTCACGCCTGTAATCCCAGCACTTTGGGAGGCTGAGGTGGGCAGATCACGAAGTCAGCAGATGGAGACCATCCAGGCTAACACGGTGAAACACCCCGTCTCTACTAAAAATACAAAAAAATTAGCCGGGCGTGGTGGCGGACGCCGGTAGTCCCAGCTACTCCGGAGGCCGAGACAGGAGAATGGTGTGCACCTGAGAGGCGGAGCTTGTGGTGAGCCGAGATTGCACCGCTGCACTCCAGCCTGGGCGACAGAGCAATACTTCATCTCAAATAATAAAATAATAATAATAATAATAAAAACATGCTGCCTGATTACAGGAACTTAAACTTGTTTTGTTTACCCAAGCTGACATGTAAAAGTTACTAATAACTTCTTTGTCTAGGCAAGTTAGCAAATGACTTTGTAAGCACTGAGCAGCTCCCCTTAACTGTTTAAGTGGGAAGCCAGCCGTCGCCTACCCCAGGCAGGGGAGGCAGGACTTCTCCAGTGGCTCAGGGGAGACTGCCCTTCTTTGCCAGTTTTGGTTTGCAGACAGGTCACTGAAAGGTGGGGCCAAAAAGCTTCTGTGAAGCAAAGAAATTTGAGACCCTAGTCCCTTTCTTTTGGAGATCTAATGTCCTTAGAACCTCTGTGATGAACAGAGGCTCTAGCTGAAGTCCACTGACGGGGAAAGGCACCAAAGGGCCCGAGGGAAGCCCATCATGACTGAAGAGGAAATAGAACAAGTGACCCTGTGTCTTAGTCAGCTTGCACTGCCATTGCAAAACACCACGGACTGAATGGCTTAAACAAAAAAAAAACATTTCTTTCTCACAGTTCTGGAGGCTAGGAAGCCCAAGGTGAAGGTACCGGCAGATCCAGTGTCTGGGGAGGGCTCACTTCCTGGTTTACAGACAGCCACCTTCTTGCTGTGTCCTCACGTGGATGAGAGAGCACACTCTGGCCTCCTTCTCTTCCAACAAGGGCACAAATCCTATCGTGGGGACCCCACCCTCACAACCTCATCTAAATGTAATTATCTCCCAAAGGCCCCACCTCCAAATATCATCACACTGTGGAGTAGGGCTTCCACCTATGAATCCGGGGTGGGGAGGACAGAAACATTCAGTCCCTAGAATCCTGTATCAGTGCTAAGGCCTGGTAGGGTTTGTGAGGGAAGCCGCGTTTGGCACAGGCTGAAGGTGCCCCCTCACCAGATAGAGGCTGAGAAGATGTGCTTTGAGGACCTCTGCTGAGCAGGGCTATGAACTGAAGTGTTTTTTCCTCTGGAGCCCGAGGACACGGTGCAGTTGCTCAGCAGCACTAAGGAGGGACTGGGTGTGCCCTGAGCAAGCTGTCATTGGGGGTTAAAGACTGAAACTGTCACAGCCTAGGTGCCTAGTGGCTTCCGGGACAGAGCTAAGCAGGGCACAACAGGGGTAGACGGTCTGTTCCATTAAGCTTTTGAAGCTCGTTGTCTGAGGTAATACCCAAGGTTCATCGTCTCATGCCAAGGAAATTGAGGATGCAGGCACACACGACGAGTGAGTTTAAGAGCAGAGGTTTAATAGGCAAGAGAAAGAAAAGCTCTCTCTCCTGCAGAGAGGGAGGGGCTCCCAAGTCGGTCTTCTGGCTCCGAGGTGAAATGCACTGGGTGTTATAGGTGAGCTTGAGGAGGCAGTGTCTGATTTGGAGGTTTTGCCTTGTTTTGTTTTGTTTTGTTTTTGAGACAGAGTTTCGCTCTTGTTGCCCAGGCTGGAGTGCAGTGGCACGATCTCGGCTCACCGCAACCTCTGCCTCCCAGGTTCAAGGGATTCTCCTGCCTCAGCCTCCCGAGTAGCTGGAATTACAGGCATGCACACCACGCCCGGCTAATTTTTGTATTTTTAGTAGAGACGGGGTTTCACCATGTTGGTCAGGCTGGTCTCAAACTCCTGACATCAGGTGATCCACCCGGCTCAGCCTCCCAAAGTGCTGGGATTATAGGCGAGAGCCGCCGCACCCACCCGGCCAGGCAGTGTCTGATTTACACAGAGCCCAAAAGATTGCGGGACCAGGTATGCCATTTACATAGTGCAAGAAGAAGCTGGCCGCCCCACCCTAATCTTTTATTATGCAAATGGATTCTCTACCTGGTTGGCATCATGTTGCTGCTTCCTTTACTGTACAGGTGGTTGATAAGGAAAAGGGAAGATGAAGCCTCCATGTTGAACATGCCTGGCCCCAGGTAGCCTTTTCCGATTGGCACGGCTGCCGCCATTCACCCGTTCAAGCTTCCAGCTTGCCTGTCAATGTCTGCAGCTCGATTTTACAGGCTGCTCTTTGTTAGAAAAGAAATGATGTGGGGGCTGCTTTTTGTTAAAAGGGATGCCTTACCGAGGACTCTCTTACCCTCACCAACTGCCTAAGTAATTTCTTTTTAGCTCCCGTATTACTGCATCAAACTATAGCCAGATCCACGGTGACTACAGCGCAGCCACGGCAGGGGTGGCCTCTGGCTGAGCGGGACTTGTTTGCAGCAGCAGCATCTGGTGGCAATCGCAGAAATAAGAAGGCAGTCGAGGCCGGGCACAGTGGCTCATTGCTCATTGCTTGAACCCAGCAGGCAGAGGTTGAAGTGAGCCAAGATCGCGCCACCGCACTCCAGCCTGGGCAACAGAGTGAGACTCCGTCTCAAAAAAAAAAAAAAAAAAAAAAGAATTTCGGCATTTGAGAAAAGGCTTAAGAATCTGGCATTGAACAGGCTATCCAGCCCAAAAGGGACCTCACCTGCTTTGTTGATTGTTGAATGGCCCAACTACATCTGGTTGCAGTGGCAAACGGCTGACCTCCACGAGCAGCTGAAAGTGCCTCCTGCAAGTGACCGACTCATCCAGGCCTTGGACCGAGAAAACAGCTCCTCAACTGCATCAGCTGGACCATGGTACAGACCAGAGACAGGGCAAGAAAAGAAGCAGAGGCTATTGGCCCGTGCAGAGAAGAAAGCTGCCGGCAAAGGGGGCATCTCCATGAAGACCCCAACTGTCCCACGAGCAGGGTTAACCCCGACAGCACCTTGGTGGAGAACAAGAAGCCTCAGCTGGTGGTGACTGCACGTGACTCTCGTCGAGCTTGCTGTCTCTCTGTCTGCGCTGTGTCCTACAGTGGGGTTCCCTTACTGCGTTATCCAGGGGAAGGCAGGACGGAGATGCCTGGTCTGCAGGAAGACCCCAGAAAAGACTGTCACCTTCACACAGGCTCACTGGGAAGACAAAGCAGCTCTGGCTAAGGTGGCGGAAGCTATCAGGACCGATTACAATGGCAGGTGTGACGAGATCCACAGTCACTGGGGAGGCAATGGAACCTCCTTTGCAAAAATTATAACTGAGGAAATTATGACAGTGAAAGAAATCAGACCTAACCGACTCCATCTTGCGTCTAACCTTTAAGCTGTCCTTGTCCATTCCTCGGCGTGGGCTGAACAAACTTCGGGGAGGAATTCAGCTCGTGGTTTGACTCTGAAACAAAATTGATAATAGCCCTTAACCGAAAAGACTCTTCTTGCCTGGGGACCAGTCTGCCTTTGCAAGACTAACAGATTAGCTACGAGATCAGAAATTGTAGTTTAGGGGTCATGCAGACTCTGACTCTAAGAGTCGGAACTTCCCCACATTGCTCCTGGGAATAACATCACTATTGTAAAACCTAAGATCAGTACTTGAGATACTTTTCAGACCCTGCACTCGATAGATCAGCTGACACCACCCAGACTCATAATCTGACCTAACCAGTTCTGCCACCGCACCCAGGAACAGAAGACAGCAAGAAAATCTCACTTTGATCTCCTATGATTCCGTCTCCAACCTGACCAGTCAGCGCTCCTCACTTCCCAAGCCCCTATCCGCCAAATTATCTTTAAAAACTCTGATCTCTGAATGCTGGGAGACTGATTTGAGAAATAGTAAAACTCTGGGCCGTGTCACGTGCGTCCGAGTGAAGAGCCCACCGAACAGGCTTTGTGTGAGCAACAAGGCTATTTATTTCACCTGCGTGCAGGCGGGCTGAGTCCGAAAAGAGAGTCAGCAAAGAGTGGTGGGATTATCACTAGCTCTTACAGGTGTTGGGATAGGCGGTGGAGTTAGGAGCAATGTTTTGCAGGCAGGGAGTGGATCTCACAAAGTATACATGGGTGGGGAGAATTACAAAGAACCTTCTTAAGGTTGTGGGAGATTACAAAGAACCTTCTTAAGGTTGTGGGAGATTACAAAGAACCTTCTTAAGGTTGGGAGAGATTGCAAAGCACATTGATCAGTCAGGGTGGGGCAGAAACAAATCACAATGGTGGAATGTCATCAGTTAAGGCTATTTTCACTTTTTTTGTGGATCTTCAGTTGCTTCAGGCCACCTGGATGTATACGTGCAGGTCACAGGGGATGTGATGCCTTAGCTTGGGCTCAGAGGCCTGACAGGCCGCGCGTGGTGGTTCACGCCTGTAATCACAGCCCTTTGGGAGGCTGAGATGGGGGGATTACGAGGTCAAGAGATCGAGACCATCCTGGCCAACATGGTGAAACCCCGTCTCTACTAAAAATACAAAAATTAGCTGGGCATGGTGGCACGCGCCTGTAGTCCCAGCCACTCAAGAGGCTGAGGCAGGAGAATCTCTTGAACCTGGGAGTTGGAGGCTGCAGTGAGCTGAGATCACGCCATTGCACTCCAGCCTGGGCAACAAGAGTGAAACTCCATCTCAAAAGAAAAAGCCTCCGGTCTCCCGCACAGCCGGCTCTGCGTGAATTGCTCTTTCTCCATTGCAATTTCCCTGTCTTAATAAATCGGCTGTGTCTAGGCAGCAGGCAAGGTGAACCCGTTGGGTGGCTACAGCAATGCCCTGGGTCCAAAATCTGGCTCAGACATTGCTAAACTGCAAAAGGCAAAGGCTAAAGAACTTGCCACTAAACTGGGTTAAACGTCCACTGTTGAGTTTTCTGTACATAAATTCTTTTTTTAATTCTCCTTCAAAAAAAATACTGGTCTATCAAAGTGGCTCCTGCCAGTAATCCCAGCAATTTGGGAGGCTGAGGCAGGAGAATGGCTTGAGCCCAGGAGCTCGAGACCAGCCTGGGCAACATAGTGAGACCCCTCTCCCTCCAAAAAAAAAAAATTAGCCAGGCGTGGTAGCACATGCCTGTAATCCTGTCACAGGGCGACCCCAAAATTAGAGGCTCAGCCCAGGAGGTCACATGGGTTCTTGGCTTTACACAGGAAGGAACTCAAGAGGGAGTCAACAGCTCAAGCCTGTAATTCCAGCACTTTGGGAGGCCAAGGTGGGCAGATCATCTGAGGTCAGGGGTTTGAGACCAGCCTGGCCAACATGGCGAAACCCCGTCTCTACTAAAAATACAAAAATTAGCCAGGTGTGGTGGTGCGCACCTGTAATCCCAGCTACTCAGGAGGCTGAGGCAGGAGAATCGCTTGAACCCGGGAGGTGGAGGTTGCAGTGAGCCCAGATTGTGCCACTGCACTCCAGCCTGGGTAACACAATGAGACTCTGTCTCAAAAAAAATAAAAAAATAAAAAAGGCCGGGCGCGGTGACTCATGCCTGTAATCCCAGCACTTTGGGAGGCTGAGGCGGGCGAATGACAAGGTCAGGAGTTTGAGACCAGCCTGGCCAACATGGTGAAACGCCATCTCTACTAAAAATACAAAAAATTAGCTGGGCGTGGTGGCAGGCACCTGTAATCCCAGCTACTTGGGAGGCTGAGGCAGGAGAATCGCTTGAACCCGGGAGGCGGAGGTTGCAGTGAGCCGAGATCGCGCCACTGCACTCCAGCTTGGGTGATAGTGAGAGACTCTGTCTCAAAAAAAAAAAAAAAAAAAAAAAAACAGAGGGAGCCAACAGAGTAAAGTGAAAGCAAGTTTACTAAGAAAGTAAAGGGAGAAAAGAGTGCCTACTCCATAGGCAGAGCAGCTCCAAGGGCCACTAGTTGGCTATTTTTATGCTTATTTCTTTTTTTAATTCATTTATTTTTCAAATGGAGTATTATTTCTTGATCTTATGCTAAACAAGGGGTGGGTTATTCATGAGGTTTTCCGGAAAGGAGCAGCCATTCCTGGAACTGAGGGTTCCCCCCGCTTTCAGACCACATAGGGTAACTTCCAAGTGTTGCCATGGCGTTTGTAAACTGTCCTGGCGCTGGTGGGCGTGTCTTTTAGCATGCTCATTTGTTATAATGAGTGTATCGTGAATAGTGAGGACAACCAGAGGTCACTTCAGTTGTCATCTTGGTTTTGGCGGGCTTCGATCCACTTATGTACCGCATCTTGTTTCAGCAGCGGGGTCCTCGTGACCTGTACCTTGCAAAACCTGTCCTGACAAACTCCTGTCTCAGTCCCAGTCACTCAGGAGTCTGCGGCAGGAAGATCACTTGAGCCCAGGAGCTCGAGGCTAAAGTGAGCCACGATTGTACCACTGCACTCCAGCCTGGGCAACAGAGCAAGACCCTGTCTCAATAAATAAATAATAAATAAATAAATAAAGGCACAAAGATTTCCCATATACTCCCTACCCCACCCCCCCCACCCCCACACATACACAACCTCTCTCCGTAGATTTGTTGTTAATGTTTGTCTGCATAGGTTGTACCTCTGGTATGTAATTTTTGTTTTAATCGTTTGTAACAAGTTAATTTGTTTTTAAACAGGCAACCTGCACTTCCCCAACCCCAGAAAGTGCTGATAATGAAGAGTTTATTTGCTCCCAAAACAAAGCTAAGTTTTCATCTCACCAGTGGGAGTATTACCCTCTGTATTTTTAGGTCATTAAATATTTGCAATAAAAAATACAATTAATAATTTAGTGTACCTAAGTGATGTGTGTATTGAAGGATTTAGCACCTCCCTTGAACAACAAACCGTATTGCTCAGCTGAGCACCATCCTCTTGAGGGACATTGAAGAATCTTTATTTTGTTTCTAAACAAAATAAAGGACAAGAACTCCAGTCGTTAGATCTGTGAAAGGAAAATAAATCTCGGGGCCAGGCACAGTGGCGCACTCCTTAAATCCCAGCACTTTGGGAGGCCAAGGCTGGCGGATCACCTGAGGTCAGGAGTTCAGGACCAGACTGGCCAACATGGTGAAACCCCATCCCTGCTAAAACTACAAAGACTGGCTGGGCGTGGTGGCTCACGCCTGTAATCCCAGCTACTCTAGAGGCTGAGGCAGGATAATCGCTTGGACCCAGGAGACGGAGGTTGCATTGAGCCGCACACCTCTGCACTCCAGCCTGGGCGACTTCACACACCTCTGCACTCCAGCCTGGGCGACTTCGTCTCAAAAAAAAAAAAAAAAAAAAAACCCGCAATCTCAGGATCCCAAAATCACTAAGCCAAAGGAAAAGTCAGGCAAAGGTTTGCCTTTTTATTCCTCCCATTTTATTCCTAAATAAGATAGCTACAAAGATGAAAAAGCCTACATACCTCCCTCACAATTTGCCCACACTGAGCCAGACTAAATTGTGTGTTCAGTGAAAGGCTGATCAAGGACTTAAAAGGATGCAACCTTTTGTCTCTCCTCTACCTATGATCTGGAAGCCCCTCTCCCTCCCCCCTTCCCCACCCCCACTGTCTCATGTCTCCCTAAAATGTATAAAAGCAAGCTGTACCCCAACCACCCTGGCCACATGTCATCAGGACCTCCTGAGACTGTGTCACGGGTGCATCCTTAACCTTGGCAAAATAAACGTTCTAAATTGATTGAGACCTGTCTCAGATCAAAAAGTGTTATGGTACATTGAGTTGCATTTTGGATTTTGGGTGTGTGTAAATTGTCCTCTTCTCCACAAAATCAGAAAGTGTGGCCCTGCGCTGGAGAGGGCGGGGTCGCCCCAGTCACCTGAGCAAGGAAACCCCCAAGCCCAAGGAAAAGAGAGGGAGCAGAGAGGAGGGGAAGCTGCAAAGCCCACTGCCCCGCCCAGAGCCACCCACCAGCCTGGAACTCCTCTGCAGAAAAACAAGGAAAATACAACTGAAGCTTGTTTGATGGCAAATGCTTTCCTTTGCCTTGTGGATGATGGAATGCAGATCGCTATGACGATGGGAGCTTAAATTAGAGGAATTTATCCAAAGGAAAGAAGGAATTTCCTCCACGGAGTGGCCTAGAAACTGCAGAGAAAAACAAAGGAGGTGAGGTCAAGTCACTTCAAAGTAGTCAGTAGTCACAGCAGAATGGCCCAGAGTAGGTCTTTTTTTTTTTTTTTTTTTTTTTTTAAGACCGAGTCTCACTCTGTCTCCCAGGCTGGAGTGCAGTGGCGCCATCTCGGCTCACTGCAACCTCCGCCTCCCAGATTCAAGCGATTCTCCTGCCTCAGACTCCCAAGTAGCTGGAATTACAGGCACCTGCCACCATACCCGGCTAATTTTTTTGTATTTTTAGTAGAGACAGGGTTTCACCCTGCTGGCTAGGCTGGTCTCGAACTCCTGACCTCAGGTGATCCACCCGCCTTGGCCTCCCAAAGTGCTGGGATTACAGGCGTGAGCCACATACCCGGCTCAGAGTGAGTCTTAAAAGGACAAAAAGAACAAACTTCATTGCTAATGCTCCAGACTGACCCAGCTGTGAAAACAGCGATACCATCTTACCCTTGCCCTTTTTGCCAACTCTGGAATCTTGCCAATGAGGAACTTAATCAAATGTGGGTTCCAAAATAGGAACTCATTAGCACAAATTTTGCAGGATGCATTCCTCACTTGCAGGATTTTATTATATAATAATCCTAATGTTTGTATGGAGAGAAATGTTTATTGGTAGATTTGGTTACTTTGTGACAGCACAGGTTTTTTGAGATGGAGTCTCGCTCTGTCGCCCAGGCTGGAGTGCAGTGGCGTGACCTCGGCTCACTGCAATTTCCGCCTCCCGGCTTCAAGCGAGTCTCCTGCCTCAACCTCCCGAGTAGCTGGGACTACAGGTGCCTGCCACCACGCCCAGCTAACTTTTGTATTTTTAGTAGAGACGGGGTTTCACCGTGTTGGCCGGGCTGGTCTCAAACTCCTGACCTTGCGATCCACCCACCTTGGCCTCCCAAAGTGCCAGGATTACAGGTGTGAGCCACTGCATCCCGGGCAACAGCACAGGTTTTTAAAGATGACCATGTGCTTTATGTGCACATCGGATGCAAAGTTGATGAGCACAGAATCCTTATGGCCAACATAAGGATTTGCTTCCTGGACAAGCAAAGCCTGCCACTGGAGACTGCTTCTGCGTCTGTACACAGGTAGAAGCTGGTCTCTGTGAATACACTGTTCTTTCTGTGACTTTTACCCACCCCACTGACGCCAAAAAAGTGATTGCATTCTCACTAATTGTTATAACACATTTAACCTCCTGGGCCCTTGAAGGAGGCAGCACCTTGCAGCCCGGGGAGGTCGGTCCTCAGTGTCTCTGGTCATGAATGTTCAGAGTGAGATAGGAGAACCTGCAAGCCACAATGTCCTCCCCACTTTTCCTGCCAGATGCATGTCTGGCTATTCCCCACCTGCCCAAGCCTCTCTTGGCATTGCTTGTACATCCCCCTCCACTATGGAGATCTGTCTAAGGTGTATCTCCTCCCAAGACCAGCTTGAGGCACTCTGGTATAACCTGTAGCCAAAGCTGCTCTGATCAATCAGCTGTAGGTTACACCAGAGTACCTCAAGTTGGTCCCGGGAGGAGACACAGCTTAGGCAGATCTAGGTCAAGTTTCTGTTTTCATGATCTAGCCAGGCTGCCCTTGATAATGTATTTGAGACTTTAGTCATTGCCTGTTCTGAGCCATCACATTACAGAGACAGGCCTAGGCGCCACCTAGCCCTTCATTAGTAAGAGTGCACTTCCTAGAGATTCTAGGTTCACTGCAGTGAGTCAAAGTAGCTGAGAGCAGCGCTAATGATTTGCTTGGTTGGTTGACTGAAATCTGGTGTCCTCTTGGCCGGGCGCGGCGGCTCACACCTGTAATCCCAGCACTTTGGGAGGCCGAGGCAGGTGGATCACGAGGTCAGGAGATCGAGACCATCCTGGCTAACACAGTGAAACCCTGTCTCTACTAAAAATACAAAAAAAAATTAGCCGGGTGTGGTGGCGGGCGCCTGTAGTCCCAGCTACTCGGGAGGCTGAGGCAGGAGAATGGCGTGAACCCGGGAGGCGGAGCTTGCAGTGAGCCGAGATCACACCACTGCACTCCAGCTTGGGCGAGAGTGCAAGACTCCGTCTCAAAAAAAAAAAAAGATATCTGGTGTCCTCAGGAGTGGTCTCTGCTGATTGAGATTGATATGATACCAAACTTCCCTGGTATAATGTATTATAGAAGAAAGAATCCACAGGCCGGACCTCAGAGCGGAGTGGGAATAACAGACCAGCCAGTCACCTACCTGGTAGCAGCTTATAAGTTAATGGCGAAGGACCTCATGAAGGGTGTAACATATAAATTGACTCATAATTCAGCGTATAGGTTTGCCTTTCCCTGCCCGCAGTGCTCCTGCCAGCACTGTCCTCCATGGAGTTTCAGAAAGCTGTGTTCACTGTCATAGTATACACAACACACTCCAGAGCAAGCAACTCACAGCAAAAGAACTGCGGCATATGGGCTCAAGCCATGGAATCCATTGATCTTACCACGTACCCCATCACCCAGAAGCAACTTGCCTGATACAATGGAATTACCAAGTAAACACTCCACAATTATGCCAGCTGGAAGACAGGCCCCTGCAGGATGGGGGTGCCAGCCTACAGGATACTCCATAGCATTTGAACAATTCCTCTCTAGTGAGAATTCACAGGTCCAGAAATCAAAGTGTTTTTCTCCCTATTACTTTTTTTTTTTTTTTTTGAGACGGAGTCTTGCCCTGTTGCCCAGGCTGGAGTGCAGTTGTGCAATCTTGGCTCACTGCAACCTCTGCCTCCCAGGTTCAAGTGATTCTCCTGCCTCAACCTCCTGAGAAGCTGGGATTTTTGTATTTTTTTTTTTTTTAGTAGAGATGGGGTTTCACCACGTTGGCCGGGCTGGTCTTGAACTCCTGACCTCGTGATCTGCCCGCCTCGGCCTCCCAAAGTGCTGGGATTACAGGGTGAGCCACCATGCCAGGCCTCCCTATTACATTTAATAACTCACCTGTGTTTGAGTTCTACCAACTTTAGAGGTCATAATTCCCAAGGGTGAAATGCTTCCATCAGGAAACATAATCAGTTCCACTGAACTGGAAGTGGAGGTTTCCCCTGTGGCCATTTGGGGCCCTTCCTACCGCTGAGCAATAGGAAAAGAGAGGTCCCTGGACTGCCTGGGATGACTGATCCTGGTTATCAAGGGGAAAGGAGGTTGCTGCTACACAGTGGGGGAAGGGGTGTATCTAGAACTCAGGGGGCCCAATGCCTTGTAATACAATTTCACAGAAACTATAACAACCCAATAAAGGCTTCAGACCCTGCAGAAATGATGATTTGTGTTTTCCCATCAGAAAAAGACCCCCTGTCTGCCAAGGTGCTGGTTGAAGGCAGAGGGAACATTCAATGGGTAGTGGAAGAAAGAAGTGACAGGCAGACGCGGTGGCTCACGCCTGTAATCCCAGCATTTTGGGAGGCTGAGGTGGGTGGATCACTTGAGGTCAGGAGTTTGAGACCAGCCTGGCAAACATGGTGAAACCCCATCTCTACTAAAAATACAAAAATTAGCTGGGCGTGGCGGCGGGTGCCTGTAATCCCAGCTACTTGGGAGGCTGAGGCAGGAGAATTGCGTGAACCTAGGAGGCAGAGGTTGCAGTGAGCCAAGATCACACCACTGCACTCCAGCCTGGGAGACAGAGGGAGATTCTGTCTCAAAAAAAAAAAAAAAAAAAAAAAAACGAAGGCAGTTACATCAACTACAGCTTTGCAACCATGGCAGAAATAACTGCTGTAGCAAACATGGGTATCTTTTCTTGTTTGTTACAAATATGTATATGTTAATTAATTCATTATTTCTTTTCTTTTCTTTTTTATTTAGATGGAGTCTCACTCTGTTGCCCAGGCTGGAGTGCAGAGGTGCAATCTCAGCTCACTGCAACCTCTGCCTCTCGAGTTCAAGTGATTCTCCTGCCTCAGGCTTCCGAGTAGCTGGGATTACAGGCGCCCACCACCACACCCGGCTAATTTTTGTAATTTTAGTAGAGATGGGGTTTCGCCATGTTGGCCAGGGTGGTCTGGAACTCCTGACCTCAAGTGATCCACCCGCCTCGGCCTCCCAAAGTGCTGGAATTACAAGAGTGAGCCACCGCACCCAGTCTATGTATTTCCTTTTTTTTTTTTTTTTTTTTTGAGACGGAGTCTTGCTCTGTTGCCCAGGCTGGAGTGCAGTGTTGCAATCTCGGCTCGCTGCAAGCTCCGCCTCCCAGGCTCATGCCATTCTCCTGCCTCAGCCTCCGGAGTAGCTGGGACTACAGGCGCCCGCCACCACGCCCAGAGTATTTTTTGTATTTTTAGTAGAGACGGGGTTTCACCGTGTTAGCCAGGATGGTCTCCATCTCCTGACCTCGTGATCCACCCGCCTTGGCCTTCCAAAGTGCTGGGATTACAGGCGTGAGCCACCGCGCCCAGCCCTATGTATTTCTTTTATAGAAATGTTTGTTTATATTTTTTCTCTTCTGGAGGAGTTTTTTTTGTTTTTTTTTGTTTTTTGTGTTTTTTGTTTTTGTTTTTGAGATGGAATTTCACTCTTGTTGCCCAGGCTGGAGTGCAATGTTGCGATCTCAGCTCATTGCAACCTCCATCTCCCAGGTTCAAGTGATTCTCCTGTCTCAGCCTCCTGAGTAGCTGGGATTACAGGCATGCACCACCATGCCTGGCTAATTTTGTATTTTTAGTAGAGATGGGATTTCTCCATGTTGGTCAGGCTGGTCTCAAACTCCCAACCTCAGGTGATCCGCCCACCTCAGCTTCCCAAAGTGCTGGGATTACAGGTGTGAGCCACCACGCCCGGCCTGGAGTCTTTTTGATAAATAACATTTTCCTAGACAATTATCCAGTCTTTTAAATTTGGTTTGTTTGTTGTTGTTGTTGTTTTGTCACCCAGGCTTGAGTACAGGAGCATAATCTTAGCTCACTGCCACCTCTGCCTCCCAGGCTCAAGCAATCCTCCCACATCAGCCTCCAAAGTAGCTGGAACTACAGGGGCAAGCCACCATACCCGGCTAATTTTTGTAGACACAGGGTTTTGCCATGTTGTCCAGGCTGGTCTGGAACTCCTGGGCTCAAGTGATACACCTGCCTCAGCCTCCCAAAGTGCTGGGATTACAGGTGTGAGTCACTGGACCTGGCCTGTTTTGGTCTTAGTTCTGTGTTAAATATATTAAACATTCACTGCCTTCCTTTTGCTAAAATTTACTTTTTTGCTAGCCCTTAGTTGACTCGAGTTTATCCTCCAGTAATTTCTTCAAGAAGGGCTCATGAGAACTATATTTCCTAAGATCATGCATTCTCAAAATTGTCTACGGTTTAGAGAATAAAGACAAGCCACAGACTGGGAGAAAATATTTCCAAAACACATATCTGATAAAGAGTTGTATCCAAAATTTACAATAAACTCCAAAAACTGAACATCAAGAAAATAAACTACACAATTTCAAAATGGGCAAAATATCTGAAGAGACACCTCACCAAAGAAGGCACATATATGGCAAATAGCATATGAAAAGATGCTCAGCGTCATATGTCATTAGGGAATTTAAAATTAAAGTAACATTTGGATGGTCAGGCACGGTGGCTCATACCTGGGTGGCCAAAGCTGGGGGATCACTTGTGCCCAGGAGTTCGAGACCAGTCTGGGCAACATAGGGAGACCACCGTCTCTACAAAAAAACGTTCTTTAAATTAGCCAGGCTTGGTGCCACACACCATGGTTCCAGCTACTTGGGAGGCTGAGGTGGAAGGGTTGCTGGAGGACAAGAGGTCAAGGCAGCAGTGAGCAGTGATCGTATCACTGCACTCCAGCCTGGGCAGCAGAGTAAGACTCTGTCTCAAAAATAAAATAAAATAAAATAAAATAAAATAAAATAACAGTTGAACTCTGCTACACATCTATTAAAATGGCTAAAATCCAAAACATTGACAACACCAAATGTTGGCAAGGATGTGGAACAAGAGAAACTCTCATTCATTGCTGGTTGGAACGCAAAATAGTATAACCACTCTGGAAGACAGTTTGGAAGTTTCTAATAAAGCTAAACATAGGCTTACCATACAATCCAGCAATCATGCTCCTAGGTATTTACCCAAAGGAGTTGAATGCTTATATCCCCATGAAAACCCCAACACAAATGTCTACAGCAGCTTTTCATAATTGCCAAACATTGGAAGCAACCAACAGATCCTTCAGTACATGAAATGATAAGCAAACTATGGTACATCCATGCAAAGGAAAATTATCCAGCTAAAAAAGAAATGAGCTATCAAGCCATGAAAAGACATGGAGGAAGCTTAAGTGTATATTGCTAAGTGAAAGAGGTCAGTCAAGCCGGGCGTGGTGGCGCATGCCTGTAATCCCAGCTACTCGGGAGGTTGAGGCAGGAGAATCACTTGAACCCAAGAGGCAAAAGTTGCGGTGAGCCAAGATCACACCATTGCACTCCAGCCTGGGCAACGAGAGCAAAACTCTGTCTCAAAAACAAACAAACAAACAATAAAAAACAAAAAGAAGAAGTCAGTCTGAAAAAGCTATAAATTATATATATCCAACTATATTATACTATATTCTGGAAAGGCAAAACTATTGAGACAGTAAAAAGATCAGTGGTTGCCAGAAGGAGGGGAGAGGGGAGAGGGAAAAAAACTTTATGGTCTTTTAATGAAATCCCTGACTCATGTTTTCTTTCCTTGACTACTTGCTCCATCTCTTCCAGCATTCAACATGGGTCTGCAGACATCCAAGGCTAGCCTGATTTTTATCCCCTAAAAGAAAAAAGGAATTTATCTTTTTTCCTGGCTGCTCATAAATTTCTTTATTTTTAAAACTCAATAACTTTACTAGGCCAGGTCTCAACAAAAACATTCTTGATCAGTTTTCCCTGACATCTAGCTTTCTCTTTCATCATAGATTCAAGCCTCTTTTATTTCAGGAGAACTTTCTTTTCTTTTTAAAGGAGAGACAGAGTCTCACTATGTTACCTGGTCTGGTTTCGAACTCCTGGCCTCAAGTGATCCTCCCTCCTTGGCCTCCCAAAACGCCTGGGTTACAGGCATTAGCCACCATGCCTGGCCAATTTCAAGAAAACTTTCTTGAATTATATCTTTAGCTGTATGTTTTATCTATTGTTTTGGTTTTATTTTTTAGAGATTTCAACTATGCATATATTGCATATTTAATTTCCTTTGCATCTTATATATATGTATATATATACATAATTTTCCCATATTGTTTTTAATCTACCATATTTCCACTTCATTGGTTCACTTTTCTCATTTCTATTCTTTATGTCCTTTACAGTGTCTTCCATAGTAACTGTTCTTATTTATACTCCCTCCAATTTCTTTTTTCTTTTTTTTCTTTTTTTTGAGACGGAATTTCGCTCTTGTTGCCCAGGCTGGAGTGCAATGGTGTGATCTTGACTCACCGGCAGAGGCCTCCCAGGTTCAAGTGATTCTCCTGCCTCACCCTCCCAAGTAGCTGGGATTACAGGCATGCACCACCATGCCCGGCTAATTTTGTATTTTTAGTGAGACGAGGTTTCTCCATGTTGGTCAGGCTGGTCTTGAACTCCCGACCTCAGGTGATCCGCCCTCCTCTCCCTCCCAAAGTGCTGGGATTACAAGTGTGAGCAACCATGCCCAGCCGGGTTTTTCTATTCTATTGCATCGTCAGGTTGCAAATTTTCCAAATTTTTATGCAATGCTTCCTCTTGAATGTTTTGCTGCTTAGAAACTTATTCCACCAGATACCCAAAATCATCTCTCTTAAGTTCAGAGTTCCACATATCTCTAGGGCAGGGAGAAAAAGCTGCCAGTCTCTTTGCTAAAGCACAGTAAGAGTCACTTTTGCTCCAGTTCCCAACAAGTTCCTCACCCCCATCTAAGACCACATCAGCCTGGACTTTATCATCCATATAACTATCAACATTTTGGTCAAAGACATTCAGTAAGTCTCTAGGAAGTTCCAAACTTTCCCACATTTTCCTGTCTTCTTCTGAGCCCTCCAAACTGTTCCAACCTCTGCCCACTACCCAGTTCCAAAGTTGCTTCCACATTATCAGCTATCTTTACAGCAGCATCCCACTCTACCAGTACCAATTTACTGTATTAGTCTGTTCTCACACTGCTAATAAAGACATACCTGAGACTAATTTATAAAGAAGAAGAGGTTTAATGGACTCACAGTTTCACATGGCTGGGGAAGCCTCACAATCACGGCAGAAGGCAAAGAAGGAGCAAAGATACGTCTTATATGGCAGCAGGCAAGAGAGTCTGTGTGTCGGAACTCCCATTTATAAAACCATCAGATCTCCTGAGACTTATTCACCATCAGGAGAACAGCACAGGAAAGACCTGCCCCCATGTTTCAATTACCTCCCACTGGGTTCCTCCTACCACATGTGGGGATTATGGGAGCTACAATTCAAGATGAGATTTGGGTGGGGACACAGCCAAACCATATCATGGAGGTTGCAGTGAGCCGAGATAGTGCCACTGCACTCTAGCCTGGGTGACAGAGCAAGACTCTGTCTCCAAAGGAAAAAAAAAAAAAAATTGTAAGATGACTCACCATGGGGGACAAGTAGATCCTCAAAGTTTGGCCCAAATTGCTGCTTTGGAAAAGAAACAGTAAGTGCATAGATACTTTGTTATGACGTGCTGCATGGAAAAGAACTAAATGCATTTGGCTTTAAGTATGAAATATTTTTGGTATCTTGGTGTCTACTTTCTTTTACAGTTGGTTTTAGATTACAGAAAGAGAGCTATTTATACCTGTTATTATTATCCTGACAAAAATGACAGCATAAGCACTATAATTGAAAAATCTGAATATAGAATGAATTTATGTTAAAAGTGTCTGTTGTGCTAAAGGCATTGTATTTAGTGGGAAGGGCTTTGGGGAACCAACTGGTAGAAATACATCATGGAACGGTTCATTTTAGCAAAGCATTAAGATATTGCCCACAGAATGTTTTCCACCATACAGGTTATGCATTCAGTGGCTGTTTCAAAGGTTTTATTTATGGAAAAGCAAGCGACTTTAGGTGGGGAGGGAAGAAGTTCTTGAGTTCTTAATTCATAGAAAAGGAGCCATAGCTCTTTGTATTGATTCTACCATTTCTTTATTCAGTTAGGATGAAGTATAACCCTTTAGCCAGAATTTTTGGCTAGGCACAGTGGCTCACGCCTGTAATCCCAGCACTTTGGGAGACCGAGGCGGGCAGATCACGAGGTCAGGAGTTTGAGACCAGCCAGCCCAATATGGTGAAACCCCAAATCTAATAAAAATACAAAAATTAGCCAGACGTGGTGGCACGCGCCTGTAGTCCCACCTACTCGGGAGGCTGAGGTGGAAGAATCGCTTGAACCTGGGAGGTGGAGGTTGCAGTGAGCCGAGATGGTGCCACTGCACTCCAGCCTGGGTGACAGAACAATACCCCATCTCAAAAAAAAAAAAAAAAAAACAGAATTTTTGAGAAGTATTATTCCAGGCGTTCAGAACTGAGAAAGTTCACACATAAGAAATACATTCTTTGGCCGGGCGCGGTGGCTCATGCCTGTAATCCCAGAACTCCGGGAGGCTGAGGCGGGCGGATCACAAGGTCAGGAGATCGAGACCATCCTGGCTAACATGGTGAAACCCATCTCTACTAAAAATATAAAAAATTAGCCCAGCGTGGTGATGGGCGCCTGTAGTCCCAGCTACTTGGGAGGCTGAGGCAGGAGAATGGCATGAACCCAGGAGGCGGAGGTTGCAGTGAGCCGAGATCTTGCCACTGCACTCCATCCTGGGCGACAGAGCGAGACTGCCTCAAAAAAAAAGAAAAAAAGAAGTACATTATTATCGTCATCAAAAGTTAAAAAAAAAAAAGTTATGGGATCAATGGATTGGATAGCAATGTCCTACGCCCCACCATTTACTCATCTTTTCTCCTCCTCTGAGTTGAAACTCCTCCTTGGTGAGCTACTGAATTCCTATATGCACTTGCATGTAGGAGATGGCTACTGTTGGCTTTCCCTCCCCCACATCCCACCGCCAACACCGCCTCCACGTTTCTGTGAACTCTCCCCTCCTTCGCATGCGGTCACCGCAGCAGCCATGGCATGACCTTTGGCTGCAATCGATCAGGCCAGTGTTAGTCAGCTGATCCAACAGAGCCAATCAGTGTCTTTCCCACTACTTGGGAGCGGGGGGGAAGACAGAAAGAGAGAGAAAGAGAAAGAGAGAGAAAGAGAAAGAGAGAGAAAGAGAAAGAGAGAGAGAGGAGAGACTATTAGGTAATCGCCCTGGATGGTCAGTTTTCTGTTGAAGGCGCCTACTCCATATCTTTTCCTCTTCATCACTCTGCATTTCTGAATTTCATCCTATACTTTGTGCTCAACTTTTGTGTGCTCTTAAAGTCAGCTTTATCCTAAGCAAATCTGTATCTACTTTAAAAGACTGAAAATAGAAAAAAAAATCTTTGCCAAATTCTTCAGAGACTGCTGTATTTACATATGGTTTAAAATCAAATGCCATAAGAACTTCTTGATTAAACTATTCCCCATTATTACATTCTTTATCTCTTCTACAGCATCATTTTTGAAAATACTTCCTCTTTGAAATACTGCATATATGTTCTTGTGCATTTGTTTCACCTTTCAACACTCAATTCAGGTGTGTTAAAATAAATCTAACACTTTAATTTTAAAAAAGAACTGGGGGAGAATCTGCAAGCTATAAAACTCAGGAGTTTGACATTTTGGGTTGGATGAAAAAATTAAAAACCAAAAAAAAAAAAATTCAGGAGTGTCGTAAAGATTTGAATTGAGGCCGGGCGCGGTGGCTCACACCTGTAATCCCAGCACTTTGGGAGGCCGAGGTGGGCGGATCACGAGGTCAAGAGATGGAGACCATCCTGGCCAACATGGTGAAACCCAGTCTCTGCTAAAAATACAAAAATTAGCCAGGCATGGTGGCGTGTGCCTGTAGTCCCAGCTACTCAGGAAGCTGAGGCAGGAGAATCACTTGAACCCAGGAGGCGGAGGTTGCAGTGAGCCAAGATTGTGCCACTGCACTCCAGCCTGGTGACAGATCGAGACTGCGTCTCAAAAAAAAAAAAAAAAAAAAAGATTTGAACTGAAAAGCAGAGAAGCCAGTCCACTATAAGAGGAAAAAGTGAGACAGAGCCTCTGAACCTCTCAAGGAGGTAGAGCTCAAGCACAGAGAGAACTTCCCAGGTCCCTGACTGAAAAAGCACCCATCCCCATTCTGACACAAGGCCCAGTAGCAACCTGGCCCAGAGACCCCTGAGATATTCTGCTGTCTTTCTGATAAACTCCCTTCTTTTTTTAAACAATTTTATTTCAATAGCTTT